>NC_000012.12:31512809-31665504 GCF_000001405.40 Homo sapiens
TAGGGAAAATAGTAAAGTTTCCACATACCCTAAAACCAGTTTCTCCTAATAGTAACATCTTACATTAGTACATTTATTAAAATTAACGACCAGTATTTGGTACATTATTAGCGAAAGTCTAAACTTTATCTAGATTTTCTGAGTTTTTACCTAAGATCCTTTTTGTGTTCAAGAATCTCACCCAAAATACCACATTAGAGCAGTCAAGCCTCCCTAAGTTCCTCTTGGCTGTGACGGTTTCTCACATTTTCCTTGTTTTAGATGACCTTAATAGTTTTGAGTAGTATTGGTCAGGTATTTTGTAGAAGGTCCCTCAACTGGGATTTGTCTGATGTTTTTCTCATGATTATACTGAGTTTATAGGTTTGGGGAAGACCACACAGGTAAAGTGCCATTTTCATCACTTAATATCAATGATTCATACTGTCAATATGACATCACAGTTGATGTTAACCTTGATCACTTGGCTAAGATAGTGTTCTTCAGGCTTCTCCACAGAAAAGTTCTTTTTTCTCTCCTTTTCTATATTGCAATCTTCAGATGGAAATCACTCTACCCAACCCACATTTTAGAAATAGAGAGTTATACTTCACCTCTTGAGGGTAAAGTACGTATCTACCTCTATCATTTGGAATTCTTCTGTAAGGGAGATTTGTCTCTTCTCCATTTACTAATTTATCTGATCATTTATTTACATCAGTATGGACTCATGCATATTTATTTTATATTTTAAGTCATGACAGACTTTTATTTTTCTGCTCAGTGTGTTCCAGTTTGGGCCATTTACAACTCTTTTATTTGGCTCCTATGCCCATTTGATGCACCCCCATCTATGTGTTGTGTGGCTTCTTTGTTCTGTTTTGGGTTTTTGAGCACTTCCTTAATTGCCAGCAGTATAAGGCTCATATTTCTTGCCCCATTTCTAGAAATCAGACATTTCTCCAAGGACCCCCTGCTCCTTTAATTGGAAAATGGTATTAGAAATGAAGACCTCTGGGGTGTCATTGCTTGTAAGTCCCTCAGATAACATTTTTTTTTTTTTTTAAGAGACAGGGTCTCACTCTGTCACCCAGGCTGGAATGCAGTAGCACAATCATTGTTCATGGTAACCTTGAACTCCTGGGCTCAATCAATCCTCCTGCCTCAGTCTCCCAAGTAGCTAGGATTATAGGAATGTGCCACCACACCTGGCTAATCTTCTTTAAAATTTTTTGTAGAGAGAGACAGGGTGTCACTATGTTGCCCAAGCTGGTCTCAAACTCCTGAGCTCAAGCAATCCTCCCACCTCAGCCTCACAAAGTGCTGTGATTACAGGTATGAGCCACTACACAAAGCCAGGATAACTTATTTTTGCTTCTTACCTAAATATTCAGAAATAGGGGAAAGTTGGTAATACCAGTTTATAAATAAAATGTTTAAATCTTTTATAACAATAAGAGCAACAGGCTGTATCATATAGTCAAGGTTTGTAGTAGGCTATGCTACCTAGTTTTATATAAGCACACTCTATGATGTTTGCACAATAACAAAACCTCTTAATAGTGATTTTCTCAGAATGTATCCTCATCGTTAGGCATATGAGAATAAACGAATAATTATGAACATGGGCTAGTTGAAAGAACACAGGAATACTACTGACTTTGTGTAAAGATTTTTACCTTGTTTGTACAAATTCTACAATAATGGTTTTGTAGGACTATGAAGGTTATTTAATAAAAATTTAAGGCTGGGCATAGTGGCTCACGCCTGTAATCACAACACTGTGGGAGGCCAAGGTGGGTGGATCACTTGACATTAGGAGTTTGAGACCAGCCTGGCCAACATGGTAAAAACCCATCTCTACTAAAAATACAAAAAATTTGCCAGGTGTGGTGGCGCGTGCCTGTAATCCCAGCTACTCGGGAGGCTAGGGCAGGAGAATCACTTGAATCTGATTCAGGGAGGCAGAGGTTGCAGTGAGCTGAGACTGCACCACTGCACTCCATCTGGGTGACAAAGTGAGACTCCGTCTCAAAAAAAAAAAAAAATTAAGATTTGTGACACTGGGTGCAGTGGCTCACGCCTGTAATCCCAACACTTTGGGAGGCTGAAGCAGGAGAATCACTTTGGACCAGCCTGGGCAACATATCAAGACCTTTTTCTCTACAAAAAAAAAAATTTTTTTTTAATTAGGCATGGTGGTGCACACCTGCAGTCCTAGCTACTCAAGGGACTGAAGTGAAAGGATTACTTGAGCACAGAAGTTCAAGGCTGCAGTCAGCTCTGATAGTGCCACTGTACTGCAGCCTGGGCAACAGAGTGAGACCCTGTCTCTAAAAAGAAAACAGAACGTAAGACTTGCGATTATAAGCCGAGTGTGGTGGTGCATGTCTGCAGTCCGAGCTATTTGGGATGCTGAGGTGGAAGGATCACATGAGCCCATAAGTTCAAGGCTGCAGGGAGCTATGATTGTGCCACTGCACTTCAGCTTGGGTGACAGAGTGAGACCCCATCTCTAAATACATACACATACATTTTTTAAAATTGCGATTATAATTATACTGAAATTATGTTTAAATTATCATTATTATTATTATTGTAACAGTATTGGATTCTTTCACAGTATGATATAGAAATAGATGAGAAATAACCAGGGAAACTACATTATTAATTTTGTACTTCTGTAAGACCATTCCACATACTTATAGTTTTGCAGATATACTTACATGGTGGGTAAATTTTATTGCCATAAATGTTTATTAAGTTGTACTTCTGTGAGAGACTACAGTATGTCAATTCCTTTCAGGATGAGTTCTAAACAACTTCCCATTTTGTATGAAGGAATGAACAAAAAAAGGAATGAACTTGAACTCTGTTCAATTATATACAATTAATCAGTAGAAAAACTGTTACATAGATATGCTTTTTACACTAAGATTAAACTCATCTATTCACTAGTAACACAATATTACTGGTATAAATAGACTACTCAAAATTCTGTACTGCCAACCAACAAATATATTGAGCCTTGCTACAAGCTTAGCCAAGCATATTAGGAATATAGAAAATTTATCAGTAATGGTTCTTCCCTCAGCATTTATAGAAGAAATTCTTGAAAAGGCAAAAATTCAACTGTTAGAGACAATTATAGCACAATGGAGAGGCTTTAGAGCATATCTTAAAATAATTTAAATATATGCATTAAAAGCTACTCTTTCCGAAAAAAGTGATTACACTTATCTTGCACGTAGATGTATGGGTATGAAAACTAGGTTGCCCCTTGTTTATTGGGCTGAACTTGCTCCTTTTGATAATTACTAAAGTATGTCATTTATTTATATTCATTTTCTCTAATGATGTACAGCATATTCTCTGTGTTAGTATATCTCGCACCTAAACAAATTAAGCATGGGTGGGCACGGTGGCTCGCGTCTGTTAGCTCTTTGGGAGGCTAAGGTGGGCAGATCACTTGAGCCCACGAGTTTGAGACCAGCCTGGGCAACATGGCAAAACCTTGTCTCCACAAAAAATATAAAAATTAGACAGCTGTGGTGGTGCACACCTATAGTCCCAGACAGCTACTTGGGAGGTTGAACTGGATCACCTGAGTCTAGGGATGGTGAGGTTGCAGTGAGCTGTGATCACGCCACTCCTCTCTAGCCTGGACAATAAGAGTGAGACCCTGTCTCAAAAAAAAAAAAAAAAAAAAGTTAACCCCAAGCCATGAAGAAACCTTGGCCCATTATCTATTTTTTCCATTTCTTCATCACATTTGAGCTTTCATCATTGATGATAGCAGTCATTTTTCTGTTCTTTGGTTGCAAAACAATATACGATTTATGTGCTCCTTCAAGACTGATATAATATCTGACTGCCATTAACACCTACCTTTTCAAGAGCTGACCATCTGATCTATATATTATTTAAGTTCTTTCCTTTGTTTCTTGGGCTGCTCAACTTTAATGCAATTTATTTTCCTGTCTGTAATTTTAAAAAATTTCAGGCTGGGCCCTGTGGCTCACACCTTCTAATCCCAGCACTTTGGGAGACTGAAGTGGGAGGGCTGCTTGAGTCCAGGATGTTGAGGCTGCAGTGAGCCCTGATCGTGCCACTGCACTCCAGCCTGGGCAACAGAGTGAGACCCTATCTCAAAAAAATTAAAAAGAAGAAATTAGAGCATATAGAGAAGTAAAACAGAAATAATTAACACTGTGTGTAGATACCTTCCCTCCTGAATTCAACAAATGTTAACACTTTGCTATATTCATTTCACAACTTTTTAAAACAGAAATATGAATCTTAAATTCGGCTGGGGAAAAAAAAACAGAAATAAAAACTTTAGATAAATGAAAATTCCCTCAGCTGGAGCTCAGAACATCAGCCTCCATTCTGCACATCCATATCTTTCAGGACTGTTTCCTACATGTATAAACTACCCCACTACAACCCACGGTGATTCCTTTTTTCTCTAAGCCCTACCCACTTGATTATCTAATATAGGCAAATGTTTGTTTTGTTTTGTTTTTCTGTGAGAATGTCCTCTATCCTGCGCTTAAAGCGGACTATGAGTAGTTAGCACCCTGTATCACACCCAGCTCTATGCCCTAATTCTGTATTGGCTGTTTGCTGCCTTTGTCTTGAGACTTAAGGTGAAAACCATCTTAGCTGAGGTGAAGGGCAGTGAAAAGTATAGCACAGTACTGAATGAGAAGTGCATAGAAATATGAACTGATAAAAGAAACAATCTCTCCATAACTACACAAGCTTCAGTTAAATTAACAGCTGTAGCCTTAGTTTTACTAACGATTGTATTTGGACGTTAGTCTGTAAAAGAATTCACCTCCCATAGGAACAATGTTATAAGATGATTAAGTCTCCTCATTTCCCAGCCCTAAACTAGTAGGGGTGCTTTTAATGATCCAAGACTGGGATCTGGGAAGGTCAGGGAGGAGAAAGTGACAGAGATCAAGTTCAGAAGTCCTTGAATCCAGAGTTGATGAAGGGCTGGGAAGTGAAGCACAGGGGTTCTGGGAGTCTAAGAAGTCAAATGACACTTTGGGGATCATCAAACACTATGAAGTTTATCCTTTACTGTGCCTTTCTGCCTCACACTAACCCTTCCTATAACTTGTTACCTGCAGCTATGTACTCTTGCCTTTGCAGGTGGATGAGAAAGTGGGGGCTCCTTCCCTCAACTCAGCCTTGCATTGCTGGAATAAAAAGCCTGAGTTCCCAAAGGTAGATCTGCGGGCAGTCTCTGCAATGGGAGCAGTGCAAAGTGGAGAGGCAGGGAAAGAGCTTTATAAACTGAAGCTCTGGAAGTCAGAAACCTCTCACATTCAGCTTCTCTGATTACACAGCTCATCTTTCCTCCTCAACCAGACTGGATGTCCCACTATCAGAGACTATGAACACATAAAACTTGATTCAAATATTTTAGGAAATAACACTACACAAACAAATAATTCAAAAAATGTTAGACTTGAATTATCTTTAAGAGCCTGAGCAGTCCCTCTCCCTCTCTCATTGTTTACATTAGGAGAACACAGATGCTCAGCTAACATGGTTTGCCTAAGGTGAGAATTAAAGACAGAGCTGAGGCTTGAATTAAGAGTCTCCAGAAACCCAGTCTCAAAGACAGTGTCTTCCTCTATTAAATGTCCACCTCTGTACCCTTGTGCCAGGACCAGGGCTAAGCATGTAAGCATGAGGCACATACTCAATAAAAATGGGCCAACAGACTTTTCTACATGTAATCTGTGAGCTTTGAGGCACTATTCAAATATACCTTTTTTTTTTTTTACTAAGATAGTTAGCAAGCAAATATCTTCAAGCAGCTTTTAATCAAGCTTTTAGTACTGTATATTACCTTCCCTTCTCAAACTAACTTAAAATCACCTTAATTCCACACTCACTGCATCATACTCAAAAGCATAGCTAATTTTCTGGGTTTTTTAAATCTTTTTTTTTTGCCTCATGCTGTGCTAATTTAACCTCATCTTGGTAAACAAGAAAATGGTCCTAGTTTGACAGACTCTAGCTGCAGCAACTGCAGCTGGCCTATATGCAAACCAATTTTGTTCATTCTTTATCCTGGCAGGGAGCCCTGCCCTAGAATTGTTTTAGGGCTAATCAGCATTAAACCTGCGTCAGAAATGTTGCTGAAAGCAGCCCTAGAGCAAGACCACAGCAACAAAGCTCTTCAGGAAAGGGATGACAAATGCAGCAGCTATGTAAAAATCTATGGGAAGACTTTTGTTCATGAGAGTAAAAGTGGGGCCTAGCTTCTTTTCTGTGCTTTGGCACTTATCCTGTGGAAATGACTTCGAAAGGAGATACGGAAGACAAACGATGCACCAAATTTGCTCTATTTCTTTCTTTCTGGGTGCTTGGTGATTAGCCAAAAAATGTTACTAACTTCAGATGGTAGCAAATGGTAAAGAAATTAGATTTGCATCCTTTGCTACTCTCTGAACTTGAAAACACTGCATGACTTGTCTTTTTGAAAACACTGCATGACTTGTGAGTTAGCATGATTTTCTATAGGATGAACCTGAGGTACAAGAAACAGATGTGCATAATGACACCTTGAGTAGATATAAACAACTCTGTCTAAAAACTTTGTTAATGGATAAATTCCTTAACAACAAATGATTAAATATTGGAGTGGTTTTCTTTCTACTCATCTGCTGGATTCAGTCTGTACCTTTCAGTGTATCACATTCATTTTACATTAGAATTTGAATGTATTAGCAATCTAATACATTGTTAGTAACTTTCACAAGTACTCACAAAAGAAGGCCATTAGGCTTCCCTAAATGCCACCAGATCTGTGGGGCTCACACAGAAGTCAAAAAAGGACAGTCCATTTTTGTCTGATCACTGTAGTTCTTGAACATATGGTTGCTTTCTGTGTCTGCTCACTTAATTCTCATTAAATGACTAGTAAATCAGTAACTGCAACAGATAAGCATGCTTCAGAATTTTTTTATAACAGCTTTATTGAGCTATATTGCACATACCCTTACACTCACCCTTTTAAAGTATACAATTCAGTGATTTTAGTATATTTATAGAGTTGTGTGAGCATCACTACTATCTAATTTTAGAACATTTTCATCACCCCAAAAAGAAACCCTGCACCTCACCTTAGCAGAGAGACTTTTTGATATGGTAGCCATCCCTGTTTGCTAGGTGTGTTTGCTACCTGTTCAGGCATTTCTTGGCCTGTGTCAACTGGAACATGGCAAAAAAATTTTATAGTGTTTAGGCAATAAATGAAAACCCTCATAAAATGTGTTTCAAATAAGCTTTTTCTCTAGTCCAATCCTATCCATGTACCAGCTTGGAGACTTTCATTCTAAGAAATAATTTATTTGCAGAAGAGTTAATAAACACTATCCAACTTACAGATATCAAAATGAATTGTGATAACATCTACAAAAATCAGTTTCCTGCAGATATTCTGCGTTGAAGTTCTTACTAATCAACTATAGGGTGCTATAGAACTTTTTAACCTTGTTTCCAAAATATGGGAAGACAATTTTGCATTATTGCAGTTTCCAGGCACTTATAATGAATTAAAATGAAACAGCTGTTAATCATATGCAGCAAATCTCTAGCTAGTATAGAAGTTAGGCACACCTAGCATAGAAACTAGGCAGATAATGGAACTGAAATAAACTTAGTAAGCAAAGAAAGTTAATAGAAAGATAATGTGAACCATATATATAATTTAAATTTTTCTAGTAGCTACTTTTTTTTCTTTTTGAGAAAGAGTCTCACTCTGTCATCCAGGCTGGAGTACAGTGGTGTGATCTCAGCTCACTGCAACCTCCACCTCCTGGGTTCAAGCGATTCTCCTGCCTCAGCCTCCCGACTAGCTGGGACTACAGGTGTGTGCCACCATGCCCGGCTAATTTTTGGTATTTTTAATAGAGACAGGGTTTCACTGTGTTAGCCAGGATGGTCTCGATCTCCTGACCTCATGATCCACACACCTCGGCCTCCCAAAGTGCTGGGATTACAGGGGTAGCTACATTTTAAAAATAGTTAACAACAACAACAACAACAACAACAAAAACAGGAAAAATTCATCATGACAATAAATTTTACTTCTTGTATCCAAAATATTGCTCCAACATGTAATAAACATACAAAAATGTTAGTGAGATATTAAATCTTTGAAATCCAGTGAGTATTTTACATCTACAGCTCATTTCATTTTGAACTAGTCAAGTTTCAAATACTCAAGTCACATGTGGCTAAGTGGCTCCCATATCAAGCAGCACAGCCTTAGATCATTAAAGTTGGTCTTTTTTTTTTTTTTAATTTCATCATAAGGGATTGCCTGGCTATAAGGATGCCAAGGGAAATAATGCTAACTGAATAAAATAGGCGTCAAAAACAATAGAAAAGGTTATATCAATGTTATATATAGTAAGTTCAGAGATAAGGCATTAGAATTCCACTGTACATTCTGTGGGGTGTGCAGATATCAGACATTCACTTTAGTACAAAAAAACTTTTTTTTTTTTTTAATATTTAGAGACAGCGTCTCACTATGCTGCTCTGGCTGCACTCGAACTCCCGGGTTCAAGTGATCCACCTGCCTCAGCCTCCAGAGCAGCTTGGGAATACAGGCACACACCACTGCACCTGGCTATTCTACCAATACTTATTTTTGTAGACTGAACTGTACAGGGTTAAGTAAAATTATAATGAGAAAATTGCTGATTGTATTTCAATTAAATTTAAGAAACAGTTTCATTTTTGTTAGTCTGTCCTATACAAGATGCCTACATAAAACAGAAATGTGTGTGGGTTTTTTTAGTGGCTTTTCTACTCCTGTATATCTAGCGTCAACAAAGACCACCACCATCCATCCAAACCATTAAACCAAGGAATGATTCTTGCTTCCTCTTGCTTCCCCTAGCCATTTAAGTAACTGCCTGTAATGCTAAGTTCCGTTCCATCCCCATGCCTTAGTTTAGGTACACTTCATCTCTTGTCCAGACTACTTCAGTAGCCTCCTACCTGGCCTCCCTATCAACCAGACTCCATACTATTGCCAAAATCATCTTCTTAATATGCTAATCTGATCATTATAATCCCCTGCATAAAATCTTTCAGTGGCTCTTTATGACTGGATAAAAATTCCTTAGCTTGTAATACAAATTTATATTTGGCCCTTGGCTACCCTCTTCAATTCTATTTACTACCCTTCCTCTTCTCTCTCATGTTAGCTATAGTAAATTTGCTGTCATATCCTCACCCCTTTCTGCTTTTACAAATGTTTTCCCTCAGTTTAAGACATCCCCCACTCAATCCTTGCCCACTTAGCAAACATCTGCTCATGGTGCAGAGTTACATTCTCAGTGAAAATTTCCCCATCTCCCACTAGGGAGAGTTAGATAAACACCTCTAAACGCTGATTTACAGCATCTATCACATTGTGCAGTAGAAAAGGCTAAGCTGAGAGTCAATAACCTTTGGAAACTTCTTAGGAAAGCATGGCCATATCAGGAACTAAAATTTGCTGTACTCTGCAGTCCTAAATTCATGTACCTCCCTTTGAAAGCTGGGCTGATCCCAATTTCCTAGGTGAGGTAAATATCAAAGAGGTTCTAACTAGTTCAAAATTTTAAAACTATTAAAATTGCTATTATTATTTTGAGACAAGGTCTGGCTCTATTACCCTGGCTGAAGAGCAGTGGCACGATCTAGCTCACTGCAACCTCTGCCTCCTGGGCTCAAGCCATCCTCCCCAGTTCAGGCTCCCAAGTAGTTGGGACTACAGGCACACACCATCATGCCCGGCTAATTTTGTATTTTTTGTCGAGATGAGGTTTCACCACGTTACCCCGGCTGGTCTCGTTACTTGTGAGCTCAAGCGACACACCTGCCCTGGCCTCACCCTGGGACTACAGGTGAGCGACTGCACACGGCCTTTTTTAACCTTTAACTCTCCAATAACTTACTGCATTTGTTCAGTTCTTACCTGATCCCAGTAAAGTATCCATGACAAAAACATCTAAATACCTTTCCTTTTTTAGGCAGGAGGGAGTGGGGCTTATATGCAGGCTTTGACTTCCAGTTTTATTGAGGGTGGCTTCATCCCTTAGAACAACTTTTGTGTTGTTTTCAGACCTAGAGTGGGGCTGTGAAACTCCCAAGTCTTGGGTTATAGGGGACCAATATGGGAGATTCCCTGAGGATGTTAGCATTCCCAGAATAGGAGGGAAGGTGAGATAAATGTGCCTTTTTTTTTCCTTTTTTTTTTTTTTTAAAGAAAAAGCCTCATTCTGTCGCCCAGGCTGGAGTGCAGTGGCGTGATCTCGGCTCACTGCAGCCTCCGCCTCCCAGGTTCAAGCGATCATCCCACCCGAACCTCCCAAGAAACTGAGATTACCGGCATGCACCACCACACCTGCCTGGCTAATTTTTGTATTTTTAGTAGAGATGGGGGTTTGCCATGTTGGCCAGGCTGGTCTCAAACTCCTGGCCTCAAGTGATCCGCCTGCCTTGGCCTTCCAAAGTGTTGGGATTACAGGTGTGAGCCACCACACCTGGCCTATTCTTGCAATTCTGGAAGATTTAGGGGGCTGGCAGGAGACAAGACTGAGATTGTTTAGGCCATCCTGTTGCTGACACAATCCTGGCACTTAAGCGGGAATGCAGTGGCCTAAGTGTAAGGCAACATATCTCTCATACCATTTCACCAAAACAAAACAAAAAACACTTCTGAGTGAATGTCTGGCCATCTTATTAGCATCTTATTAATCTGTTTTGACATTATCCTAAAAATATGCTTTTCCTCAAAAAAAAAAAAGTCGTACAACACTGTGAATGTATTAAATGCCATTAAATTGTACACTTCAGAATGGTTAACTTTATGTTATATAAATTTTGCCCCAATTTTTAAAAATGAAAAAAAGAGTATATGACAAGAAAGATAACTACAGGATTACCAAAGCCATTATATTTTCCCTCATTTGTATGTACATGACACACTGGTTCTATAATGTTTCCCAAGAATAGATCTTGAATCCTAAGACTGCTGTGATGGGACTCTGAGAGAAGAGATTATAATGTCAGAATACTTAGCTCCTAGGATGTGATTAAGCTTATTTTGTTCATCACTAAAGTGGTATCATAGCATTCTTTCTACCATATTAAAGTAAATGAATCCTAATTAACATCTGTAATAGCTCAGTGGGCCTCTTTGTCTTTTAAGTGAAAACTACTGAGCCCTTTTTTTTTTTTTTTTTTTTTTAGATCATGTCATAGAAACATTGGTGGCACAATCCAAGTGGTGACGAATCAATTAATGCATGGAATAAAAAAAGAGCTGAAAAGACAGTAGTAAACATAGGGCTAATTTATGAATTGTATTTTTAATGAAATTACCTTTTATTAGGAAACTCTAAGAGGTCTATTTCTCTCCTTTTGAATTTGGGCTTGCCTTGTGACCAGCAGAATATGGCAGAAATGTCACTGTGACAGTCCTAGGTTCAGCCCTTAAGAGAGTCCTGGAAGCTCCTGTTGTTTCTATCTTAGAATTCATTTAAGAAGCCTGGTTGGGACGGGCACGGTGGCTCACACCTGTAATCCCAGCACTTTGGGAGGCTGAGGTGGGCAAATCACCTGAGGTCAGGAGTTCCAGACCAGCCTGGCCAACATGGTGAAACCCCATCTCTACCAAAAATACAAAAATTAGCCGGGCATGATGGCATGTGCCTGTAATCCCAGCTACTTGGGAGGCTGAGGGAGGAGAATCGCTTGAACCTGGAAGGCAGGGGTTGCAGTGACCTGAGACTGCACCATTGCACTCCAGCCTCGGCGACAGAGCCATGATACTCTGTGACATTTACAAAAGAAGGAATATCCTTGAAATTTAAGAAAAAATAAAAACCAAAAACAAAGAAAAAGAAAAAAAAAGAAATTTGAGCAAGGTAAGCTTAGGATAAGCAGAGGACAGTGTGACTTGACACATCAGCTTAGAGACCCAGTTTTCTATAGTCCTCTCTTAACTCCTATCATCTGAGAGCCCTACTCTCTTTTACTGATTCTCTCACCATTTCTCAGGCCTTTGTCCCTGTTCTCTTGCTCCCTTCCATTCCCCTTTCTTCATCTACTAAAATGATACACCTCATGAGAACATACACAAATGACCAATAGGCACATGAAAAGATGCAACATCATTAGTCATTAGGGAAATACAAATCGAAACCACAATGAGATACCACTTCACACCCACTTGCATGACCAAAATAGAAAAGACAGACATTAACACATGTTGGCTTAGATGTAAAGAAATTGGAACCCTCATCCATTGCTGGTGGAAATGTAAAATAATAACTGCTTTGAAAAAGTCTGCTAATTCTTCAAGTGGTTAAACATAGTATATACCCAACATTAATAAAAACATGTCTGTCCATGCAAAAATCTGAATGTTCATAGCAGCATTATTCATAATAGCCCAAAAGTAGAAACAACCTAAATTTCCATCAACTGATGAATGAAAAACTAAAATATACTTCTATAAAATAGAATATCTGGCCATAAATAGGAATGTAGTACTGATGAGTGCTACAATGTGGATGAATCTTGAAAATATGCAAAGTGAAAGATGTCAGACACATACTGTACAATTCTATTTATATGAAATACCAGAATAGGCAAATTTACAGACATATAAAGAATATGTGTTGCCAGGAGCTGAGTGAAGGGGAGAATGGGGAGTGAACACAGGTATGGGGTTTCTTTTGTGGCTGATGAAGATGTTCTAACATTTATTGTGGAATGGTTGCACAACTCTGTGAATATATGCATAGCAATTGAATTGTTTGCTTTAAATGGTGCATTTGATATGTATACGTTAATAATATCTCAATAAAGCCATTTAAAAAAATTCTATGAGGTCAGGCACGGTGGCTCACACTATAATCCCAGCACTTTGGGAGGCTGAGATGGGTGGATTGGCTTGAGCTGAGGAGCTCATGACCAGCCTGGGCAGCATGGAGAAACCCCTTCTCTACAGAAAAATATAAAAATTGGCCAGGTGTGGTAGCAAGTGCCTGTGGTCCCAGCTACTCCAGAGGCTGAGGTGGGAGAATTGCTTAAGCCCAGGAGGCAGAGGCTGCAGTGAGCTGAGATTGCACCATTGCACTCCAATCTGAGCAGTGGAAGTGAAACCCTGTCTCGAATAAATTTTTTAAAAAATTCTATTAATACTTTAAGGGCAAGTTTAAATGTGATCTTCTCCCTATTTCTCACCTCACCCAGTTAACATTAATAATTTCCTCTGTGCTGTCAAACCAGTTGTTATTACAGTCTGTTAGTTATATATTACCTATATTAGAACCCAGGCTAGTAAAAAACTTACTCAAATTTCTTTACATCCCCCTTCACAAGGAGGAATTCGATACAGTTCATTACACAGGGTAGGTACCTAACACGTCTTTACTACAGAAATATTTACATTTACCCATTAAAATGTCACAAACAGTTAATGGTTAGGCTAGGATTCACCTCTTCAAATGACAACATGAAAGGATTGGGAAGCTCTGATGGCAGAAGAGAAGACGCTAGATAAACTCTGCATTTGACCCAGAAAACATGTCAAATCCTATGATCTTGTCTAAAGTTCAACAATGCCCTGTAGCTATATATTCTAGTGCTCCTAAGTTTTACAACCTTTCCTTCCTTTAGAAATATTCACGATGTGAATGCTGAGGCATAAATAAATAAAAGAAATATTCACTTGAGCAAATAATCCACAAGAATCCTTTAAGAAGTAGTCTCTGCAGAGATTAGGGGAGACTAAAGAGACATAACTAAATGCAATGTGGTATCCTGGATTGGACAGTGGAACAGAAAAAGGGTATTAGTGGAAAAATTCACGAAATCCAAATGAAGCCTGGAGTTTAGTTAACAGTATTATTCCAATGTTAATTTCTTAGTTTTGATGAATGTACCATGGTTATGTGAAACGTTAACATTTGGAGAAACTGGGTGAAGGGTAAACAGGAATTCTACACTGTCTTTGGAACTCTTCCGCAAATCCAAAGTTATTTCAAAATACTGTTGTGACTCTACTGTGAATTAAGGCAAAGAAGGATATATTAATCTAAAGTATTTTCATATTCATCCATTCAACAAACTATTTTGTGCCTGCTATGAACATAACATTCTGGGATGACTCTGGGAACAAAACAAAGATTCCTGCCACCATGGTGCTTATAGTTCAGTAGGGAAAACAGGCAATAAACAATAAACATAATAAATAAGTTACACGGTATGAGAGAGGGTGATATGGAAAAACATGACAGTAAAGAGCATTGAGGGATCAGCACTGGGAAGCAGGTGGAGAATCACAATTTTAAAAATAGTCATCTGGAAAGGACTCACTGACACAGGGCATTTAGGCAGACATGAAGGAGGTGAGACAGTGAGCCAAAAGATCCTTGGGGGGAAGAGCTTTCCAGGCAACCAGAACAGCTAAAGCAAAGATCATAAGACAGGAGCATGCTCAGATTGTCTGGAAAAGAGCAAGACAAAAGCAATATAATGAGTGAAGAGGAGAGAAAGCTCCAGAGGTTACGGGCGGCCAGATCATATGAGGGATCTGGCTTTTCCTCTGAACAAATGGGAAGTCACTGGAGACTTTCAAACAGAGGAATGCTGCGCTTTGAAAGAATCACTCCAGGCTGGGCGTGGTGGCTCATGCCTATAATCCCAGCACTTTGGGAGGCCGAGGCGGGCGGATCATGAGGTCAGGAGTTCGAGACCAGCCTGGCCAACATGGTGAAACCCTGTCTCTACTAAAAATACAAAAATTAGCTAGGCATGGTGGCCCACACCTGTAATCCCAGCTACTCGGGAGGCTGAGGCAGGAGAACTGCTTGAACCCGGGAGGTGGAGGTTGCAGTGAGCTGAGATCATGCCACTACACTCTAGCCTGCGTGACAGAGCAAGACTCCATTTGGGGAAAAAAAAAAATCACTCTGACAGTTGTATTAATAATAGGCTTTATGCAACATCACCTATATGGTATTCTTGGAAAAAATGTTTAATGTGAATCTAATTATGAGGAAACAATCAGGTAATTCCACAACGTGGGATAGTCTGCAAGACAATATGCCTAGACTCTTTAAATTAAAAACAGTCAGTGTCATGAAAAACAAAAAAGGTGAGGGAGATTATTTTAGATTAACAAGGCCATAACAACCGAACATAATGAACAACCTTGACTGAAATCCTAAACAGGAGAATGTATTAATTTCCAATGGCTGCTGTAACAAATGACCTCAAACGATATGGCTTGAAACTTATTCTTTCACAGTTCTGGAGGCCAGAAGTCAGAAATCAGTATTACTGGTCTGAAATCAAGGTGTCAGCAAGGCCGAACTCCCTCCAGACGGTCTAGGGGAAAATTCATTTCTTGTTTCTTCCAAGTTCTGGTTGCTATGCGCATTCTTTGGCTTACAGCTGCATCACTCCAAACTCTGCCTGTCTTCACATCACTTCCTCCTGCGTGTGTCAAACTTCCCTTTGCCTCTCTCTAGAAGGGTGCATGTGATAGCATTTAGAGCCAACCAGGATAATCTCCGCATCTCAAGATCCTGAATCACATCTGTAAAGATATTTTTTTTCCAAATAATGTAACATTCAGGTTCCAGGTATTACGACCTGACATTTAATCTACCTAAGAGGTAAAAGTATCTCTGACCAAGGTGTAGCAGCGGAGATAGTGAGATGTATTTGAATTCTGGATATATTTTGAAGGGTGAGGCAATAATACGAACAGACCAAACACGGAGTATGATACAAAGAGAGTAATAAAGAAAGCGTGCAAGGCTTTTGAGAGACTGCACTGTCAACTGACAAAGGGAAGATTACATTTCTGAGGAAACAATAGGAATCCAGTTTTGAACATACTGATTTTGAGATGCCAATTCTAACTGGAGATGTTAAGACAGCAGTCAGATAAATTTAAGTCTGGATTTCAGGAGGGAGGTCTGAGCTAGAGAGGTAGATTTAGGACTCATTTGTAAAGAGCTGATATTGGATCATATTAAAGTCATGAGGGTCAGGCACGGTGGCTCATGCCTGTAATCCCAGCACTTTGGGAGGCCGAGGCAGGCGACCACCTGAGGTCAGGAGTCCAAGAGCAGCCTGGCCAACATGGTGAAACCCCGTCTCTACTAAAAAACACAAAAATTAGCTGGGTCTGGTGGCGGGTGCCTGTAATCCCAGCTACTCAGGAAGCTAAGGTAGGGTGAATTGCTTGAACTCGGGAGGCGGAGGTTGCAGTGAGCCAAGATAGCGCCACTAAACTCCAGCCTGCGCAACAGAGCGAAACTCTGTCTCAAAAAAAAAAAAAAAAGAAAAGAAAAAAGGCATGAGGTATTGGATGAGATAACCAAGGGAGAAGATGATGACAGCAATCTATGAAATCACAAGATGCCTGACAGGGCAGAAAAAAACTAGAGAAAATCTTATAACCTCAGTCATCCTAAGATTGGATGGACCCAGCAGTTCTCTAAGAAAACTGCATCCAAAGGAGTCCACAGCACTCAAAGATCTTGGAAGATTTTCTGGTTCCCCTCAATTTAAAAATGTATGCAGCTAATCAAATGGCAGGTCCAGGATCCCTGAGATAGGAAACTTAGAACCAATATTCCACTTAAACATTCCACAAAAGCATTCCAAGTCCTACCAAAATAATTCAACAGCCATCACTCAAGAAAACATCCTTTAGGCTGGGCACGGTGGCTCACACCTCACTTTGGGAGACCAAGGTGGGGGGATCGCTTGAGCCCTGGAGTTCGAAACCAGCCCGGGCAACATGGTGAAACCCCATCTCTACCAAAAATACAAAAATTGGCCAGTCTCATAACCCAGTCTCAAAATAAATAAATAAATAAAAATTTAAAAATAATTTTTTTTAAAAAAGAAAACATCCTTTAAAAAATGCCCAACACAAAATCACATCAGTTTTTATTAAGAATCTCTTACATTTTTAAAACACAGAGTGATAAAAACTGCTATAATTGCCATATGAATAGCCATGGCTTAAAATGCTGCATTCTCCCAAAAATGCACTTAGCACAACTGCACTTTTTTATTTTATTACTGCTTCCAGAAGAAGGATCTAGAAACTTTGTGTTATACAAATTAAACACCATAGCACTATAAATCAATTTTAATGAAACTGAATACAACTGGACATGTTAACTAAATGAAAATATACTAGTCACATATCTAAAGAGGAGCAACATTTAAAAAAAATACATGCAGCCG
This sequence comes from Homo sapiens, assembly GCF_000001405.40. Classification (NCBI taxonomy): domain Eukaryota; kingdom Metazoa; phylum Chordata; class Mammalia; order Primates; family Hominidae; genus Homo; species Homo sapiens. Next base: position 31,530,096 of record NC_000012.12, read on the forward strand.
GGCGCGGTGGCTCATGCCTGTAATCCCAGCACTTTGGGAGGCAGCGGCGGGCAGATCACTTGAGGTCAGGAGTTCGAGACCAGCCTGGCCAACATGGTGAAACCCTGTCTCTACTAAAAATACAAAAATTAGCTGGGCGTGGTGGCCCATGACTGTAGTCCCAGCTACTTGGGAGGCTGACGCAGGAGAATGGCTTGAACCCAGGAGGTGGAGGTTGCAGTGAGCCAAGATCGTGCCATTGCACTCCAGCCTGGGTGACAGAGCAAGACTCCATCTCGAAAAAAATAAAAATAAAAACAATATATGAATCAGTTTCAGGATTATTTGTGAAAAGTGAAACACTGTATACAATATTTTGAATATGCAAACATTTTTCTAGAAAGAAGGTTCAAAACATTTTACTATATTCTCAATGGTATCCATTATTCCAACATAGTTTAAAACTCTCAGGTTTGAATTAACATTGCTAAAGACCTGAAAATCAAAATAAATCATAGTTGAATATGTCAGCACTGAAAAAATATTAAATTTTAAAAATAGAATACACATTTTCACGCTCTTTAAAAATAATTATACTAAACAAAGAAGGGAAATTTGGCAAGTTAAAGCCATGTTCAGACATAATGAAAATTATTTAATGAAAAGAGTCTCCAAAGAATTTCCTTAACAAAATAAGTACATTTACTTCTGAAAGCTTTAAGCCTTAGAGGAACCCAAGCCTGGGATCTCAAGTTTAAGTTGCTGCTATCAAAGTTGCCAGTGAGGTAATCAGCTAAAATCTTTCTATTTCTAGTAATCAGCCAAGATTCATCTCCTATTTTACTCTAGGGATCTCAAAAGGGCTTTTAAATTATAATAAGAATAGGTAAAATTGAGAAAGGTCCGAAACACAAAAGGGAAGCAGAAACAGGCTAAGTAATTATTTTCAACACAGTTCATTATGCAGTGTTCAAAGAAATGCATGCTTTCCTGAATTAAAATGTTCTTAATACATTTAATATTAGGCATAATGTTGACTCAAAGTCTCTTTGGCTCTACACACATTACCTAACACTTTTATATCCTACTACGAGTTAATAACTGTTCTTAGAACTAACTTTTTTTTTTTTTCCTTTTTACTTTGAGACGGAGTCTCGCTCTGTCACCCAGGCTGGAGTGCAATGGCGCAGTCTCGGCTCACTGCAATCTCCGCCTCCTGGGTTCAAGCCATTCTCCTGCCTCAGCCTCCCAAGTAGCTGGGATTACAGGCGCATGCCACTACGTCCCGCTAAGTTTCGTACTTTCAGTAGAGACAGTGTTTCGCCATGTTGGCCAGGCTGGTCTCGAACTCCTGACCTCAAGGGATCTGCCTCAGCCTCCCAAAGTGCTGGGATTACAGGCGTGAGCCACCGTGCCCAGCCAGCTCTAACTTGTATTAACTCATTTAATTCACATATACTATGGTAAAATGATTTTTTTTTCTGAGATGAACTCCTTGGACTGACAGTAAGCACTATAGGTTTACTTTAGGGTTTGAGTCAGAAGTTACTTCCATAAGAAAAGTCTTTTAAGTCCTGATTCCTGGCATCATGCTATTGTGGCTATAGTCAACCCAGAATTACATTCCTTCCAGAATGAATTGAAGAATCTCATTAAGTTCAAAATTCACTTAAATACTGACGGACCCTGCAACTTCCTTGATCCGCCCAGCAGAAACTGAGCTTATATCTCCATTCTACTCACTACAACAGAAAAGCTGGAACTGGCCTAGAAGTAAAATCAGAATAGAGAGATACTTGTAGGCTACTTATTTGGAGACATGAAGGTCTTCAGCCAGACCTTACAGAGAATTACTTCACTTACTCAGGTAACGTTTATGGAGCCATTTCACTGTGCTGTGTACTGGAAATATAATAGAAAATAAAAAAATACACCAGGGGACAAAAAATAACAAATGCCTGCTCTCATGGAATTTCCAGTTTGGGGAGAAGACTGACATTAATCAAAGGAATGCAATTATGACTACATGGCTATAAACTGAGATAATTCTCTGAAGAAAGAAGCACAGTTTACTTAATGTTGATTAAAATAAAGGGGTGGCATGGAGTACTCTGGGATGTCAGAGACTTCCCTGAGTGACAGATGCCTGACCTAGGACTTAAAGAATAATTAGTCATTAATTAGGCAAAGACTGGGGGATAGGGGGAGTAGGTAAGAAGCATTCCAAAATCAAAATAAGCCCAATGTGTCTGGAGGGCAAAGATACAGGAAGAGAGGGGAGGTTTAAGACAAGAGGGTGGGCAGGGCTTGCTAACATATTTAGGCTCATAGACCTCAATATAACAGCAATGGAAAAATCACTGAGGTGGCTTTAAGTGGTGTAGAAGAGACCAGGCAGGGAGGGGGAAAAATTCTCATTCTAAAAAGATCATTCTGGCTTCACTATGGAGAACACAGATGGGAGAATGGTCAGGATAGACCTGTGAGAAAATTAGTGAGTTATATAGTAGTGAAATAGGGAGGTGGGAGAATGATAGAGAGAAGCAGGTAGATTTGAGACCTATACAGGAGATAAAATTGATGGTACCTGATAAGTTATTGAGGATAAAATTAGATATGGGGGAATTGGGAAAAATAAAGTATTCAGAACTTCTAAGTTTCTGGCTTTGGCAACTAGTTAGATTGTGGTACCAACTTGTTCAAAAACGGAAGGCTGGAAGAGGATCTGGTTTGAAATGAAAGCATGTTCCATCTCAGATATGTTGATGATTATTTCACTGGCTGAATTATTTTGTACAATGAGAGAAAAGGTTCCCGTGGGACCAGAAGACCTAGGATCAAGTTCTGGGTTCAGACATTATAAACAGGACTCTGATTTTAACAAGTCACAATTTGTAGGCATCGGTTTTCTGAGGCTTATTTCATTGACTTGGACTACATCACCTGCAGTTCTTTCCTAAGCTTTGGAGACTAAGAGCTTGCACAAGTCATTGGATAATCATCCTTTTGATCTGATTAAAGAAACTACATGTAAATAAGCTCACATTAAATATTGTGAGCTATTAAATATTGTTAAAATATGAATGCTTAAATTTGCCCTCCTATTACAGCAGGCTCTCCAAATCCACAGTTCTGCATCTGAAGATATGACCAACTGTGGATTGAAAATATTTGAAGAAAAAAAAACAATTTAAAAAGCCAATACAACAACAAAAAATACAGTACAACAAATAAAAAATACAGTACATGCTATTTACATGGCATTTACATTGTATTAGCTATTGTAAGTAATCTAGAAATCATTTTTGTTGTTAAAACTTATACTTTATTTTCTTGAATGTTTATATTATGCTTTTTGTCACTATCCATACTGTTTTTAAGCCTGAGCCACTGTGTGGTTTCAGCCTCAATATAATAATCATCCCCTCACTTTTAGAATTCCTTTTCCCTTATCACTTTGCTTTGTAAGGTTTCTATAAAACAAAGACCTTGGAAAATCAACATTTCCTGTGAACTCAAGAGATTATGTAAGCAGTGCCCAAATCAGCAGGATTAGGCAGGTAAAAGCAGTTGGATGGCAGATACACTATGATCTCTTTGACCACAATGTAGTTGTATGCATGTCTAAAAGGTCATACTGATTCACCATTAGAATAAAGATCACATGTAGGTTGACCAGGGAGGACTATCCACAGAATTGTGTGAACTGTGGTAGGGGAGGCAGTATACAACATTCATGGATGAAACACCTAGCTAACTGCTTTCCTAAAAATTATCTATTGTCTAAAAGACAAACATCTAGGCTTTTTAGTGTTTTTTTTTTTTCCTTTAACTTATGAAGATTCAAGTCACTAATATGTTAGTTCTTCTGGTTTAAAATGAAAGTAACTGGCTATGGTAATGTAGAGAAGACAGATGACTGCATCAATATTTAAGACTTAAATTTTGAGTTACCTCACCTTATAAAAATATATATCAATATACTAAATACTCAACAAAGATCCAGGATGTACAGTATTTAAAAATACATTTCTCTTGGATCAGCACCAAAAATAATCAGTTTCTGTTCAACTTGTGTCAAGTTTTTTTTTTGTCGGTTTTTTGAGGCTGAGTCTCACTTTGTGGCCCAGGCTGGAGTGCAGTGGTGCGATCTCGGCTTACTGCAACCTCTGCCTTCCAGGTTCAAGCGATTCTCATGCCTCAGCCTCCCAAGTAGCTGGGATTACAGACATGTGCCACGATACTCAGCTTTTTATTTTTATTTTTACTTTTATTTTGTATTTTTAGTAGAGACAGGGTTTCACCATGTTGGCCAGGCTGGTCTCGAACTCCTGACCTCAAGTGATCTGCCTGCCTCGGCCTCCCAAAGTCATGTCAAGTTTTTAGGTCTAGGCAAGTTAAAATTATCTCTGATAAAAATCACGAGCTCCACAAAAATAATTAAAGATATATCCAAACATCTTTCAAATACATTCTGATATCAGGTCAGGCATTTCACTTTAAAGAACATAATAGTAACTACCTTACCACTGAATTTTTGTAGTAAGACGTTTTAAATCAACTTTGTCTTATGGGAATATTTTATATCTTGCACGAAGGAGCCACTGGTACTTAGACACCTAAAATTACTAGAACCATTAAGACTGAGGTGAAGAATTTGTATAGCCTTCCACCATTACAAAGAAGGAGTGATAGATACTTGTCCTCCTGGCAATATCAAATGCCGTTTCTTTGAAGTTGTTTTTCAGCCCTGGTTTGATGTAATGGTTCATCAGGAGGAGTTCTAGGTTATCTTTGCTGTCTCCTTTCCCAGCAGCAAGATGCAAAGGGGTCAAGAGGCTTTGGTTTGATTAACTGGGTGTGGCGGCGTGTGCCTGTAGTCCCAGCTACTTGGGAGGCTGAGGCAGGAAGATAGCTTGAACCTGGGAGGTGGAGGTTGCAGTGAGCGCAGATTGCACCACTGCACCCAAGCCTGGGTGACAGAGCAAGACTCTGTCTCAAAAAAAAAAAAAAAAAAAAAAAAAAAAAGGCTTTTGTTTGGGCATTGATATCTGCATCACACTGAGGTAAGAAAGAAGCCACTCTGGTACCACTTGCAAGTACTGTGCAGGGGTGTCCAGCCATCCGCCATCACTGCATGAACATCTGCCTCTTGTGCTATCAGCTCAGGGACCTAAGTGTCCACTGCAGGCTACTTAATGAACACTAGGGATAAAGATATACTCATGGCTTCCAGTCTGACCCAGCACAGTCCCAGTGGTGGTAGCCACAGGGGTGACTCTGTCACCCCACCCCACCTCCAGGTGAATTAGCACAGAGAAAGAGAGAGAGAGAGACACACACACACACACACATATATACACATACACACACACACACACTCTGACTCAGTTTGTCTGGGAGAAAGTAAGCGAAGAGAACCAGAGTCTCTGCCTGGTAATCCAGAGAATTCATCCAGGTCTTATCCGAAACTACCAAGGTGGTAACTCTACAAATCCGCAAGAACCACAGGTTACTGGGCTTGGGATGCCCCCTAAGGCAGACACGGCTTAGATCTCAATACCCAAGTTCAAATACCTGGAAAGCCTTCCTAAGAAGAGTGGGTAAAAAAAAAGTCTAGACTGCAAAGACTACAGTAAATACCTGACTCTTCAATGCCCAGACACCAACAAACATCCGCAAGTATCAAGACCATCCAGGAAAACATGACCTCACCAAATGAACTAAACAAGGTAGCAAGGACCAATCTTGGAGAAACAGAGATATGTGACTGATATGGTTTGAATCTGTATCCCCACCAAATATCATGTCAAATTATAATCTCCAATGTTGGAGGTGGGGCCTGGTGGGAGGCGACTGGATCATGAGGGTGGTCCTTGACGAATGGTTTAGAGCCATCCCCTCGGTACTGTTCCTCCTGATAGTGAGTTATCGCAAGATCTGGTTGTTTAGAAGTGTGTAGCAGCTCTCCGCCCCTCTTCCTCCTGCTTCTAATCATGTGAGACGTCTTGCTCCCACTTTGACTTCCACCATGATTCTAAGTTTCCTGAGGCACCCCCAGAAGTCGAGCAGATGTCAGAATCACGTTACCTGTACAGCCTGTGGAAACATAGGCCAATTAAACCTCTTTTATTTATAAATTTCCCAGTCTCAGATATTTATAGCAATGCGAGAATGGACTAATACAGTGACCTTTCAGACAGAGAATTCAAATAGCTGTTTTGAGAAAACTCAACAAAATTCAAGATAACACGGAGAAGGAGTTCAGAATTCTATCAGAAAAATTTAACAAAGAGATTTAAATAATTAAAAAAGAACTACGCAGAAATTCTGGAGTTGAAATATGCAACTGACATATTGAAGAATGCATCAGAGTTTTTTAATAGCAGAAGGATCAAGCAGAAGAAAGATTTAGTGAGCCTGAAGACAGACTATTTGAAAATACAGTCAGAGGAGACACAAGAAAAAAGAGTAAGAATGAAGTACACCTACAAGATCTAGAAAATAGCCTCAAAAGGGCAAACCTAAGAGTTACTGGTCTTCAGGAGGAGGCAGAAAAAGAGATAGGAATAGAAGATGTATTTAAAAAAAAAAGTTTATTCAAAGAAATAATAGCAGAAACCTAGGAAAGGTTATCAATATCCAAATATAAGAAGATTACAGAACACCAAGCAGATTTAACCCAAAGAAAGCTATCTCAAGCCATTTCATAATCAAATTCCCAAAGGTCAAGGATAAAGAAAGAATCCTAAAAGCAGCAACAGAAAAGAAACAATATACAACTGAACTCCAATACATTTGGCAGCAGATTTTCAGTGGAATCCTTACAGGCCAGAAGAGAGTTGCATAACATATTTAAAGTGCTGAAGGAAAAAAACTTTTACCCCAGAATAATTTATCTGGCTAAAATATACTTCAAACATAGAGAAATAAAGACTTTCCCAGACAAACAAACACTGAGGGATTTCATCAACACCAGATCTAGCCTAGAAGAAATGCTAACAGGTGTACTTCAATCAGAAAGAAAAGGACACTAATGAGCATTAAGAAATTATCTCAAGGTACAAAACTCACTGGTAACAGTAATTATATAGAGAAACACAGAATAACACTGTAACTGTGGTGTGTAAATTACTCTTATTTTAAGTAGACTAAAAGATAAATCAAAAATAACTACAACAACTTTTCAAGACACAGACAGTACAATAAGATATAAATAAAAACAACAAAAAGTTAGAAAGCAGGGGGATGAAGTTAAGGTGTAGAGTTTTTATTAGTTTTCTTTTTGCTTGTGTGTTTATGAAAACAGTGTTAGGCTATCAGTGTAAAATAATAGGTTATAAGATAGTATTTGCAAGCATCATGGTAACCTCTAATCAAAAAACATACAACAGATACGCTGAAAATAAAAAATAAGAAATTAAAATCATACCACCAGAGAAGATTACCTTCACTAAAAGGAAGACAGGGAGGAAGGATGGAAGACAAGACCCATAAAACAACCAGAAAATAAGTAACAAAATGGAAGGAATAAGCCCTTGCTCATCAATAACAACACTGAATGTAAATGGACTACATTCTCCAATAAAAAGACAGAGTGGCTGAAGGGATTAAAAAAACAAAAAACAAAAAAACAAGACTCAGTGATCTGTTGCCTACAAGAAGCACATTTCACCTACAAAGACACACATAGACTGAAAATAAAAGGATGGAAAAACACATTCCATGACAATGGAAATCAAAAAAGACTAGGAGTAGCTATACGTATATCAGACGAAATAGATTTCAAGACAAAAACTATAAGAAGAGACAAAGAAGGTCACTATATAATGATAAAGGGGGCAATTCAGCAAGAAGATGTAACAATTGTAATTGTATATGGACCCAACACTGGATCCATATACCAGTGTTGGAGCACCCAGATACATAAAGCAAATATTGTTACAGCTAAAAAGAGAGACAGACCCCAATATAATAATAGCTGGTAACTTCAACATCCCATTTTCAGCGTTGGACAGATCTTCCAGAGAGAAAATCAATGAACATCAGACTTAATCTGTACCAAATGGACCTAATCAGACCAAATGGACCTAATAGATACATACATAACATTTCATCCCAAAGCTGCAGAGTACACATTCTTTTTCCTCAGCACATGGATCATTCTCAAGGATGGACCATATGTTATGTCACAAAACAAGTCTTAAAACATTTAAAAAAACTGAAATAATATAAAGCATCTTCTCTGACCACAATAGAATAAAACTAGAGATCAATAATAAGTGGAATTATTGAAAATTTTCTTGAAATAAATGATAAAGGAAACACAACATACGAAAAGCTATGGGATACAACAAAAGCAGTACTGAGAGGCAAGTTTATAGCTATAAGTGCCTACATCAAAAAAGAAAAAAACCTCAAATAAACAACTATTTAATGATGTATATTAAAGAACTAGAAAAGCAAGAGCAAACCAAACCCCAAATTAGTAGAAGAAATAATAAAAATCAGGCCAGGCGCAGTGGCTCACGCCTGTAATCCCAGTACTTTGGGAGGCTGAGACAGGTGGATCACTTGATGTCAGGAGTTCAAGACAAGCCTGGACAACTTGGTGAAACCCCATCTCTACTAAAAATACAAAAAAATTAGCCGGGCATGGTGGTGTGCACCTGTAATCTCAGTTACTCGGGAGGCTGAGGCAGGAGGATAGCTTGAACCTGGGAGGTGGAGGTTGTAGTGAGCCGAGATTGTGCCACTGCACTCCAGGGTGGGCAACAGAGTGAGATTTCATCTCAAAATACAAAACAAAACAAAAAATAAAGATCAGAGCAGAAATAAGTGAAACTGAAACAAAAAAAATACAAAACTTCAATGAAACAAAAGGTTTTTTTTTTTTTGAAAAAAAAAATTGACAAACTGCTAGACAGACTAAGAAAAAGAGAAGACACAACTAAGTAAAACCAGAGATAAAGAAGGAAACATTCAACTGATACCACAGAAATTCAAAGGATCATTAGTGGCTGCTATGATCAACTATATGCCAATAAATGAGAAAATCTAGAGAAAATGGATAAATTCCTAGATACTACAACCTACCATGATTGAACCATGAAGAAATCCAAAACCTGAACAAACCAATAACAAGCAACAACATCAAAGCCATAATAAAAAATCTCCCAGTAAAGAAAAGCCTGGGACCTGATGGCTTCACTACAGAAGTCTACCAAACATTTAAAGAACGAATACCAATCCTACTCAAACTATTCTGAAAACTAGAGGAGGAGGGAATAATTCCAAACTCACTCTATGAGGCCTGTATACCAAAATCAAAGACATATTACATATTAAAAGAAAAAAAATTACAGACCAATATCACTGATGAAAATTGATGCAAAAATCCTCAACAAAATACTAGCAAACCAAATTCAACAACACATTAAAAAGATCATTCATCATGACTAAATAGGATTTATCCCAGGGATGCAAGGATAGTTCAACATATGCAAATCAATCAATCTGATATATCATCATATCAACAAAATGAAGAACAAAAACCATATGATCATTTCAATGGATGCTTAAAAAGCACTTGATAACATTCAACATCCCTTCATAATAAAAACCTTAAAAAAACTTGGTATAGAAGAAACATATCTTAATATAATTACACCATATATGACAGACTCTCAGCTAGTATCATACTGATGAGGAAAAAAAAAAACCTTTCCTCTGAGATCTGGAATACAACAAGGATATCCACTTTCACCACTGTTATTCAACACGGTACTAGAAGTCCTAGCTAGAGCAATCAGACAAGAGAAAGATATAAAGGGTATCCAAATTGGAAAGGAAGGAGTCAAGTTATCCTTGTTTGCAGATGATATGATCTCGTATTTGGAAAAACCTAAAGACTCCACCAAAAAACTATTAGAACTCATACAAAATCAGTAAAGCTGCAGGATACAAAATCAACCTACAAAAATCTAGCATTTCTATAGGCCAATAGCAAACAATCTAAAAAAGAAATCAAGAAAGTAATCCCATTTACAATAACTACAAATAAAATTAAATACCTAGGAACTAACCAAATAAGTGAAAAGTCCCTACAATGAAAACTAAAACACTGGAGCAAGAAATTGAAAAGGACACAAAAAACTGGAAAGACATTCCATATTCATGGGTTGGAAAACTCAATATTGTTAAAATGCCCATTCTCCCCAAAGCAATCTACAGATTTCATGCAATCCCTATAAAAATACCAATAATGTTCTTCACAAAAGTAGAAAAAACAATTCTAGGCCAGGCGTGATGCCTCATGCCTGCAATCCCAGTGCTTTGGGAGGCCAAGGTGGGCAGATCACTTGAGGCCAAGAGTTCCAGACCAGCCTGGCCAACATGGTAAGACATCGTCTCTACTAAAAATACAAAAATTAGCCAGGTGAGGTGGCGACTACCTGTAATCCTAGCTACTCAGGAGGCTGAGGCACAAGAATCGCTTGAACCTGGGAGGCAGAGGTTGTAGTGAGCCAAGACTGTGCCACTGCACTCCAGCCTGGGCGACACAGTCAGACTCTGTCCCGCCCCCCAACCCCCCCACCAAAAAAAAAAGAAAAGAAGAGAAAAAAACAAACCTAAAATTTACATGGAACCACAAAAGACCCAGAATAGCCAAAGCTATCCTGAGGAAAAAAACAAAACGAGGAATTTTATTACCTGACTTCAAATTATACTACAGTTAGAGTAACCAAAACAGGATGATACTGGCATAAAAACAGACACATTAGACCAGTGAAACAGTCTAATAAAGAATGCAGAAATAAATCCACACATTTACAGTGAACTCACTTTAGACAAAGGTGCCGAGAACATACAATGGAGAAAGGACAGTCTCTTCAGTCAATGGTGCTGGGAAAACTGGATATCTTTACGCAGAAGAATGAAGGTTGACCCCGTATCTCTTACCATATAAAAAAAAAATCAAATGAAAATGGGTTAAAAACTTAAATTTAAGACCTCAAACTATGAAACTACTAAAAGAAAACATTGGGGAACCTCTCCAGAACACTGGAGTGGGCAAGGATTTCTTGAGTAATACCCCACAAGCACAGGCAACCAAAGCAAAAATGGACAAATGGGATCACATCAAGTTAAAAACCTTCTGCACAGCAAAGGAAACTATCAACAAGAGACAACCCAAAGAATGGGAGAAAATATTTTGAAACTACCCATCTGGCAAGGGATTAATATCCAAAATACATAAGGAAGCTCATGCAACTCTACAGGAAAAAAAATCTAATCATCCAATCAAAAATGGGCAAAATATCTGAATAGACATTTCTCAAAAGACATACAAATGGCAAACAGGTATACGAAAAGCTGCTCAACATCACTATCAGAGGAATGCAAATCAAAACTACAATGAGATATAATCTCATCCCAGTTAAAATGGCTTTTATACAAAGACAGGCAATAATAAATGCTGGCAAGGATGTGGAGAAAGGGGAACCCTTGTAGACAGCTGGTGGGAATGTAAATTAGTACAACCACTATGGAGAACAGTTTGGAGGTTCCTCAAAAAACTAAAAATAGAGCTACCATATGATCCAGTGATCCCACTCCTAGGTATATACCCAAAATAAAGGAAATCAGTATATCGAAGCGATATCTGCACTTCCACGTTTATTACAGCACTATTCACAATAGCTAAGATTTGGAAGCAACCTAAGTGTCCATCAACAGATGAATGGATAAAGAAAATGTGGTACTTATACATAATGGAGCACTATTCAGCCATAAAAAGAATGAGATCCTGTTGTCTGCAACACCGTGGATTGAACTGGAAGTCATTATGTTAAGTGAAATAAGCCAGACACAGAAAGACAAACTTCACATGTTTTCACTTATTTGTGGGAGCTAAAAATTAAAACAACTGGTCAGGCACATTGGCTCACGCCTGTAATCCCAGCACTTTGGGAGGCCAAAACGGGCAGATCACAAGGTCAGGAGTTCAAGACCAGTCTGGCCAATACGGTGAAACCCTGTCTCTACTAAAAATACAAAAAAATTAGCTGGGCGTGGTGGTGGGCACTTGTAGTCCCAGCTACTCAGGAGGCTGAGGCAGGAGAATCACTTGAACCTGGGAGGTGGAGGTTGCAGTGAGCCGAGATCGCACCACTGCACTCCAGCCTGGGCAACAGAGCGAGACTCCGTCTCAAAAAAAAAAAAAAAAAATTAAAACAATTGAACTCATGAACATAGAAAGTAGAAGGATAGTTACCAGAGGCTGAGAAGGGTAGAAGGTAGGATGGGGGAAAGTGGGAATGGTTAATGGGCACAAAAAAACAGAATGAATAAGACCTAGTATTTGCTAGCACAACAGGGTGACTATAGGAAAAAAATAATGTAATTGTACATTTTAAAATAATTAAGAGTATAACTGGATTGTTTGTAACACAAATGATAAATGCTTGAGGGGATGGATACCTCATCTTCCATGATGGGATTATTATGCATTGAATGCATGTATAAAAATATCTCATGTAACCCATAAATATATACATCTGCTATGTATCCACAAAAATTAAAATTTTTTAAAAATGGGTAGGGCACGGTGGCTCATGCCTGTAATCCCAACACTTTGGGAGGCCAAAACGGGTGGATTCTTTGAGCCCAGGAGTTTGAGACCAGCATGAGCAACATAGCAAAACCCCATCTCTATGAAAAAATATAAAAATTACCTCAGTGTGGTGGCATGCAACTGCAGTCCCAGCAACTCAGGAAGCTGAGGTGGAGGGTGGCTTGAGCCTGGGAGGTGGAAGTTGCAGGGAGCCAAGACTGTGCCACCATTACTCCAGCCTGGGCGACAGAGCCAGACCCTGTCTCAAATAAGTAAATGGTACTGAAAAAAATGTTGTAGTGAGACAAAAAAGGTTTTTTTGGTAGACAACACTTAAATCTCTACAAAAAATACAAAAACTAGCCAGGCATGGTAGCCCATGCCTGTAGTCCCAACTACCTGGGAGGCTCAGTAGGCTAAGGCAGGAGGATCCCTTGACTCCAGGAGGTTGAGGCTACAGTGAGCGTTGACCGGGCCACTGCACTCCAGCTTTGGTGACAAAGTGAGACTTTGTCTCAAAAAACAAGAGAGATTTCATACCAAATGGTTCATAAAGATGCAAAACTGCTACGTAGAGTTTCCATATGTTTTGTAACAGAAAATGTTAGGAGTAAGATGATGTGTGTGGTATCACTCCTTACACTCCAAGTCATTAGCTTGCTTCTTTGACAGTACCTGCTACTAAGATCTGACTTTTTATAAAAGTAATTTATGCTCCTTGCTTGTCAGCATAGATACCTTTTCAAAGTTTTTATAAGGTAAGTGACTTATAAAATTTTATCTGGAAAAAAACCCACTAGGCTGTTACGGAAGTTTAAGATCAAACATACTGTGCTACCATTTTGAAAAAAGGTGAGAAATTAGAAAAAGGTTAGTCCTATTAGAAATTCTCTTATAACGTTATGACAATCATCAAAAGTATAGCAGCATACAAACAAGTTGCTAGGAAAAAAAGAGAAAGCCCACAGACACTAGTATATGTAATTACTTAGCATGTAATAAAAGGAAAATTAGAAAACAGAAAGGGAATGTTTATTCAATAAACACAGACTGGAACATGTGGCTGGTTTTTGAAAAATAATCTACTCAGATCCTTACCCTACAGCAAAATAAATTCCAAGTATATCACATCTCTATCTACTCTCTATCCATAAGATACAAACAACATATAAAAAGTGATTTAAATTTACTAAATATGGCCGGCACAATGGCTCACGCCTGTAATTCCAGCACTTTGGGAGGCCAGCCAGATCACTTGAGGTCAGGAGTTTGAGACCAGCCTGGCCAACATGGTGAAAACCTGTCTCTACTAAAAATACAAAAACTAGTCAGGCATGGTGGCACAAGCCTGTATTCCCAGCTATTCAGGAGGCTGAGGCACAAGAATCGCTTGAACCTGAGAGGCAGAAGTTGCAGTGAGCTGAGATTGTACCACTGCACTCCAGCCTGGGCAACAGAGTGAGACTCCATCTCAAAATTAATGAATGAATTAATTAAATATGTAATAAGTAACTTTAATACACATTAAAATACATTTTAAAAGTTAATTCATAAAAATATTTTAGAAGATATTATCAATGTCACATTTTTAATTTTAATTTTTATTTTTGAGACAGGGTTTCACTCTGTCACCCATGCTGCAGTGCAGTGGCACAAGCACAGCTCACTGTAGCCTCAACCTCCAGGGCTCAAGCAATCCTCCTGCCTCAGCCTTCCAAGCAGATGGAATTGCTGGCATGTGCCTCCACATCCAGCTAATTTTTATTATTTTATTTGTAGAGACGGGGTCTCCCTGTATTGCCCAGGCTGGTCTCGAGGTCCTGGGCTCAAGTGATCCTCCCACCTCAGTCTCCCAAAGTGTTGGGATTAGAAGTGTGAACCACCATGCCCAGCCAATAACTATCAAATCTATGAATATGAATAGAGTGAAACTGAAATTACAATGAAATAAAAAGGAAAATATTAATTCAACTACAAAAAAAATTTAAATCTCCTGTGCATCAAAAGGAACACCACCAAAAGTGGAAAGGCAAGAATAAACTAATGAAAATATCTACAGCTTGAGACAATCAGACATTATGCCCTCCTGATAGGATGCACTATGAACTATATAAAACCACTAATAAAATATTTATTCTTTCCCCCAAAGAATGTTGAACCTGAATCTAATTAAGACTTTAGAGGAAAGTTCTTAAGAAATCCAGGAGATAGAGCAACAAGTTAACCACCAAGAAATAGACAATAAACAAAGAATCCAAAATATGGGACATTCTACAGGGAAAATAACCTAGTTTCTTGAAAAAATCAAAAGCATAAAAACAAAGGGAAGGGGAATCAGTTTTTAGACAATCGCCCCCACCACAGACACACAGAAGCTTCTCAGTCCATTCATAATAAACTAAAAAGTCCTTATCAGAGCCAGAGCCTACATCCTTGGGATTTTATCCTGTGAAAAAGAATCCAAAAAAACTAAAAAATTCACGTACAAAAAGATGATGTTAGCAGCATGTTTTTTCATTTCCTTTCCTATTTATCTATTTTTATTTCTTTTTCCAACTTTTATTTTAGATACAGGGGGTACAGGTGCAGGTTTGCTATTTGGGTATATTGTATAATGCTGAGGTTTGGGGTACAAATGTTCCCACGTCACCCAAGTATTGAATATAATACCCGTTTTTCAACCATTCCCCTCCTTCCTTTCTCCTCCATCTAATAGTCCCCAGTTTCTGTTGTTGCCATCTTTATGTCTATGAGTACCCAATGTTTAGCTTCCACTTACAAATGTGAACATGTGGTATTTGACAGCATGGTTTTAACAGTGAAAAATTATAAATGACAAAAGAATGTTAAGCAAATTAAGGCATACCCAGAATGTAATATTATACAGCCTCTAAAATGTATGTAGTAATGAAAAGGATATATAATAATGAAAAGTACATATTTCAAATGTTTAGTGAAAAATCAGGATAAAAGGATATATGGGCCAGGCGCGGTGGCTCACACCTGTAATCCCAGCACTTTGGGAGGCTAAGCCAGGTGGATGGCTTGAGCCCAAGAGTTTGACACCAGCCTGGGCAACACAGTGAAACCCATGTCTACAAAACAAAATAAAACAAACATTAGCCAGGTATGGTAGTACATGCCTGTAGTTCCAGCTACTCAAGAGGCTGAGGTGGGAGGATCACTCGAGATAGAGGTTGCAGTGAGTCAGGATCACAACACTGCACTCCAGTATGGGTGAGAGAGTAAGACACTGTCTCAAAAAAAAAAAAAAAAAAAAAGTGGGGGAATATGTAAGGTAACAAGAAAATCTACACAAAAGCTTTAAAAATGGAAAGGAAATACAGTGAAATATTAACACTGTATGGCTAGTGTTTGTACTTTCAAGTTATTTTTTCTTTGCTTTCTAGTTTTAATAACCAGGCATTTTCTGTGATTTTAAAAATTCTTTCTCAAATTAGAAACTATATATATATGCTATATATATGACCCATATAATAACAAATCTAGGTAAGTTGGCTTTATGTTACAGCATATTTGTTTTTCCCATTTCAAAATGTTATTTATTAAGCACGGTGTCGTTCTATAACCATTTTCTGAACATTTCCCCAAATCTTTACCAAAACAAAGCTCTCTTAAATTCTTTCTCCATTATATTTCTTTTCAACTCCTCCCTGAGTAATACATATTTAGTGGGAATAAAGTTTTTATTTTGGCCAGGTGCGGTGGCTCACACCTGTAATCCCAGCACTCTGGAAGGCTAAGGTGAGTGGATCACTTGAGGTCAGGAGTTCGAGACCAGCCTGACCAACATGGTGAAACCACATCTCTACTAAAAATACAAAAATTAGCCAGGCATGGTGGTACGCGCCTGTAATCCCAGCTCCTCAGGAGGCTGAGGCAGGAGAATCGCTTGAACCAGGAGGCAGATGTTGTAGTGAGCCGAGATCACGCCACTGCACTCCAGCCTGGGAGACAGAGCGAGACTCCATCTCAAAAAATTTTTATTTCCAAGAGTATAAAATTATTCTGCATTTAAAAGCAACATTATAACCCCACATCTAAAAGACCCAGGGAGGAGTGAAAAACATTTGTTGGAAGTGTACTTTCTGTATACTAAGTTTCCTTGTTCTATAAAAATATGGTAATATTTGTTTGATACATTCGACAACCGCAACCAAAATTTATTTTGAGTTTACAGTCCGCAACATGAATTTCTAAAAATATCATACTAACATTCAAGTTTAATTGGCACAGACATATCTGCTATGTTTAACAGAAACAAAGAGTCACACATGGGGAATGACAGTTCTGAGTTTTTCTCTCTTTCCAGCAAATATGCTTCATTAGCCATTACGCTTTTTTCCTCTAGAGTTTCTCTGAGGTCACTGCCATGTTGCTTCCTATCAGACAAGTTAACACTGAGGAACCTGTGCCTGTGTGCAATCTCAGCAGATTTGCACTTATTGTTGTGTTACTTTTCTTTTTTTTACATACACATTGTTAAACATATATCTAAGGCCAGAGAAAAAGGGAAAAGTATAATGAACTCCCATGTACTCACTACCCAGCTTCAATAATTATCAATAGTTTACTATTCTTGTTTTATCTACTCCCCTCCCAACTTTTTAAGACAGGGAGCAGGCATTGAAGTATTTTAAAAGAAATCTTAGACATGATTAGATGAAAATTTCCGGCTAGCAAACTAAAAAGTTTTTTGTTTTGTTTTTGAGACAGAGTCTCGGTCACCCAGGCTGGAGTGCAGTGGCACAATCTTGGCTCACTGCAACCTCTGCCTCCTGGGTTCAAGCGATTCTCCTGCCTCAGCCTCCTGAGTAGCTGGAACTACAGACACATGCCACCAAGCTGGCTAATTTTTGTATTTTTAGTAGAGATGGGGTTTCATCATATTGGTCAGGCTGGTCTTGAAATTCTGACCTCGTGATCCACTCGCCCCACCTCCCAAAATGCTGGGATTACAGGCGTAAACCACTGCACCCGGCCTCAAACTAAAAAGTTTGTTTTGTTTTTTGAGACGGAGTTTTGCTCTGGTTGCCCAGGCTGGAGTGCAATGGTGCGATCTTGGTTCACTGCAACCTCTACCACCGGGTTCAAGCAATTCTCCTGCCTCAGCCTCCCAAGTAGCTGGGATTACAGGCACCTGCCACCAAGCCTGGTTACTTTTTTGTATTTTTAGTAGAGGCAGGGTTTCACCATGTTGGCCAGGCTGGTCTCAAACTCCTGACCTCAGGTGATCCACCAACCTCGGCTTCCCAAAGTGCTGGGACTGAAGGTGTGAGCCACCGCACCCAGCCTCTAAAAAGTTTTAAAGGCATTTGTCTTCTTTCGCTTAAAACGTAAGATATTAAAAATATTAAAATATTAAACTTAACATCTAATATAGTTCACATTAGAATCCAGCCAGGCACAGTGGGACACATTTGTAATCCCAGTGCTTTGGGAGGCCGAGGCAGGAGGATCACTTGAGCGCAGAAGTTCAAGACCAGCCTGGGCAACAAAGTGAAACCCCACCTCTACAAAAAAAGTTTTAAAAATTAGCCAGACATGGTGGCATATACCTATAGCCCCAGCTATTCGGAAAGCTGAGGTATAGGATCACCTGAGCCCAGGAGGTCAAGGCTGCCGTGAGCTGTGATCGCTCTACTGCACAGCAGCTTAGGCAACATCTGTCTCAAAAAACAAAAAAAAAAGAAGAAGAAAAAAAAAAGAATTTAAGCGACTCTCTCACCAGAAGCAGAACCCACAGTATCTAAGACCAGGTTCTTTTCCTGGCAAGACATACTGCCACTTTAAAAACTTGACTACATCACAAGACCTCTTGGACTCCTGAACCTAGTTCAATAAACAAATAAATGTTTAGATCATACTCGTTTTGTCAAACAACAATAAATAAATAAATTTCCTGTATAATTTTCAACTCATGAGAACCTGACATTTTCTCAAATGTTGTGTTATACACCAGAGCAGAATCTGTAAATTAATCAAACCTCTTCCTCCTTTGGGTAAAAGGACAGACCTTTCAACAAGTGTGCTTTCAAGGAGACCAATTTAATTAATTAATGGCTATGTATTTTTCTAAGGTCAGAACTACAGTCCCCATATGCAGAGAATATATTATTGGGTACAGCTGAAAACTGGTTCCTTTTGGCATAACATCAATAAACAGAGTACTACTGAAAGCCAAGGGTTTTTTTTCCTTTAGAGACTGGGTCTTGCTTTGTCAACCCAGGCTGGGGTGCAGTGGTACGATCATAGCTCACAGCAGCCTTGAACCCCTGAGCTCAAGTGATCCTCCTGCCTTAGCCTCCTGGGTAGCTCGGGGTACAGGCACCTGCCACTATACCTGGCTAATTCTTTAAAAATTTTTTTAGAGACACGAAGTCTCGCTTTGTTGTACACGCTGTTTCTGAATTCCTGGCTTCAGGTGATCCTTCCGAGTGGACCTCCCGAAGTGCTGGGATTACAGGCATGAGCCACCATGCCTGGCCAAGTTCATTTTTAAATTCTGACTTTAGTAAGAAAGTTTAGAAATGAGAGATAAAATGTAGCATCTGCCCCTATCAGCAATGATAACCAAGTCTTCTTGTTATCGTAAAACGGCACTGACTTTTTCCTTAATTCTAAGAAAAGGAATCCTGATTTTTTAAAAAATGTGCATAAAACTTAAGGTTACAATTTTTAAAATTATTCTGAAACAAATATTATTATTTTAATTACGCTATCTATATGGCTCTAATTTTCTATTCTTTAGAAAATTATTACTTTCTTGGGTCCTATGGGTTTCCATAAAAGGCCATTCTTTTTTTTTAATGTGACTATTTTTTTTAATTTTTATTTTTATTTTAAGTTCCAGGGTACAGGTGCAGGATATGCAGGTTTGTTACACAGGTAAATGTGTGCCATGGTGGTTTGCTGCACCTATCAACCCATCACCTAGGTATTAAGCCCAGTATGCACTAAATATATTTTTCCTAATGCTCTCTTCCCCCATCCCAACCTCCAACAGACCCCAGTGTGTGTTGTTCCCCTCCCTGTGTCCATGTGTTCTCACTATTCACCTCCCATTTGTAAGTGAGAATATGCAGTGTTTGGTTTTCTGCTCCTGTGTTAGTTTGCTGAGGATAATGGCTCCCAGGTCCCAGTCTATCATTGATGGGCATTTGGGTTGATTCCACGTCTTTGCTACTGCAGATAGTGCTTCAATGAACATACGCATGCATGCATCTTTGTAACAGGATGATTTATATTCCTTTGGGTATATACCCAGTAATGGGATTGTTGGGTCAAATGGTATTTCTGGTTCTAGATCTCTGAGGAATCATAAAAGGCCATTCTTTTTTTCTTTTTTTTTTAAATTTTATTATTATTATACTTTAAGTTTTAGGGTACATGTGCACAATGTGCAAGTTTCTTACATATGTATACATGTGCCATGCTGGTGTGCTGCACCCATTAACTCATCATTTAGCATTAGGTATATCTCCTAATGCTATCCCTCCCCCCTCCCCCCACCCCACAACAGTCCCCAGTGTGTGATGTTCCCCTTCCTGTGTCCATGTGTTCTCATTGTTCAATTCCCACCTATGAGTGAGAACATGTGGTGTTTGGTTTTTGGTCCTTGCAATAGTTTGCTGAGAACGATGGTTTCCAGTTTCATCCATGTCCCTACAAAGGACATGAACTCATCATTTTTTATGGCTGCATAGTATTCCATGGTGTATATGTGCCACATTTTCTTAATACAGTCTATCGTTCTTGGACATTTAGGTTGGTTCCAAGTCTTTGCTATTGTGAATAGTGCCACTATAAACATACGTGTGCATGTGTCTTTATAGCAGCATGATTTATAATCCTTTGGGTATATAGCCAGTAATGGGATGTCTGGGTCAAATGGTATTTCTAGTTCTAGATCCCTGAGGAATTGCCACACTGACTTCCACAATGGTTGAACTAGTTTACAGTCCCAAGAACAGTGTAAAAGTGTTCCTATTTCTCCACATCCTCTCCAGCACCTGTTGTTTCCTGACTTTTTAATGATCGCCATTCCAACTGGTGTGAGATGGTATCTCATTGCGGTTTTGATTTGCATTTCTCTGATGGCCAGTGATGATGAGCATTTTTTCATGTGTTTTTTTGGCTGCATAAATGTCTTCTTTTGAGAAGTGTCTGTTCATATCCTTCGCCCACTTGTTGATGGGGTTGTTTTTTTCTTGTAAATTTGTTTGAGTTCATTGTAGATTCTGGATATTAGCCCTTTGTCAGATGAGTAGGTTGCAAAAATTTTCTCCCATTTTGTAGGTTGCCTGTTCACTCTGATGGTAGTTTCTTTTGCTGTACAGAAGCTCTTTAGTTTCATTAGATCCCATTTGTCAATTTTGGCTTTTGTTGCCATTGCTTTTGGTGTTTTAGACATGAAGTCCTTGCCCATGCCTATGTCCTGAATGGTATTGCCTAGGTTTTCTTCTAGGGTTTTTATGGTTTTAGGTCTAACATTTAAGTCTTTAATCCATCTTGAATTAATTTTTGTAAAAGGTGTAAGGAAGGGATCCAGTTTCAGCTTTCCACATATGGCTAGCCAGTTTTCCCAGCACCATTTATTAAATAGGGAATCCTTTCCCCATTGCTTGTTTTTCTCAGGTTTGTCAAAGATCAGATAGTTGTAGATATGCGGCATTATTTCTGAGGGCTCTGCTCTGTTCCATTGATCTATATCTCTGTTTTGGTACCCGTACCATGCTGCTTTGGTTACTGTAGCCTTGTAGTATAGTTTGAAGTCAGGTAGCGTGATGCCTCCAGCTTTGTTCTTTTGGCTTAGGATTGACTCGGCGATGCAGGCTCTTTTTCTGGTTCCATATAAACTTTAAAGTAGTTTTTTCCAATTCTGTGAAGAAAGTCATTGGTTGCTTGATGGGGATGGCATTGAATCTATAAATTACCTTGGGCAGTATGGCCATTTTCACGATATTGATTCTTCCTACCCATGAGCATGGAATGTTCTTCCATTTGTTTGTATCTTCTTTTATTTCATTGAGCAGTGGTTTGTAGTTCTCCTTGAAGAGGCCCTTCACATCCCTTGTAAGTTGGATTCCTAGGTATTTTATTCTCTTTGAAGCAATTGTGAATGGGAGTTCACTCATGATTTGGCTTTCTGTTTGTCTGTTATTGGTGTAAAAGAATGCTTGTGATTTTTGCACATCGATTTTGTATCCTGAGACTTTGCTGAAGTTGCTTATCAGCTTAAGGAGATTTTGGGCTGAGACGATGGGGTTTTCTAGATAGACAATCATGTTGTCTGCAAACAGGGACAATTTGACTTCCTCTTTTCCTAATTGAATACCCTTTATTTCCTTCTCCTGCCTGATTGCCCTGGCCAGAACTTCCAACACTATGTTGAATAGGAGTCGTGAGAGAGGGCATCCCTGTCTTGTGCCTGTTTTCAAAGGGAATGCTTCCAGTTTTTGCCCATTCAGTATGATATTGGCTGTGGGTTGTCATAGATAGCTCTTATTATTTTGAGATACGTCCCATCAACACCTAATTTATAGAGAGTTTTTGGCATGAAGGGCTGCTGAATTTTGTCAAAGGCCTTTTCTGCATCTATTGAGATAATCATGTGGTTTTTGTCTTTGGTTCTGTTTATGTTGGATTACATTTATTGATTTGTGTATGTTGAACCAGCCTTGCATCCCAGGGATGAAGCCCACTTGATCATAGTGGATAAGCTTTTTGACGTGCTGCTGGATTTGGTTTGCCAGTATTTTATTGAGGATTTTTGCATCGATGTTCATCAAGGATATTGGTCTAAAATTCTCTTTTTTTGGTTGTGTCTCTGCCAGGCTTTGGTATCAGGATGATGCTGGCCTCATAAAAAGAGTTAGGGAGGATACCCTCTTTTTCTACTGATTGGAATAGTTTCAGAAGGAATGGTACCAGCTCCTCCTTGTACCTACCTCTGGTAGAATTTGGCTGTGAATCCATCTGGTCCTGGACTTTTTTTGGTTAGTAAGCTATTGATTATTGCCTCAATTTCAGAGCCTGTTATTGGTCTATTCAGAGATTCAACTTCTTCCTGGTTTAGTCTTGGGAGGATGTATGTGTCAAGGAATTTATCCGTTTCTTCTAGATTTTCTAGTTTATTTGCGTAGAGGTGTTTATAGTATCTCTGATGGTAGTTTGTATTTCTGTGGGATCGGTGGTGATATCCCCTTTATCATTTTTTATTGCGCCTATTTGATTCTTCTTTTCTTCTTTACTAGTCTTGCTAGCGGTCTGTCAATTTTGTTGATCTTTTCAAAAAACCAGGTCCTGGATTCATTAATTTTTTGAAGGGTTTTTTTGGTCTCTATTTCCTCCAGTTCTGCTCTGATCTTAGTTATTTCTTGCCTTCTGCTAGCTTTTGAATGTGTTTGCTCTTGCTTTTCTAGTTCTTTTAATTGTGATGTTAGGGTGTCAATTTTAGATCTTTCCTGCTTTCTCTTGTGGACATTTAGTGCTATAAATTTCCCTGTACACACTGCTTTGAATGTGTCCCAGAGATTCTGGTATGTTGTGTCTTTGTTCTCCTTGGTTTCAAGGAACATCTTTATTTCTGCCTTCATTTCATTATTTACCCAGTAGTCATTCAGGAGCAGGTTGTTCAGTTTCCATGTAGTTGAGTGTTTTTGAGTGAGTCTCTTAATCCTGAGTCCTAGTTTGATTGCACTGTGGTCTGAGAGACAGTTTGTTATAATTTCTGTTCTTTTACATTTGTTGAGGAGTGCTTTACTTCCAACTATGTAGTCAATTTTGGAGTAGGTGTGGTGTGGTGCTGCAAAGAATGTATATTCTGTTGATTTGGGGTGGAGAGTTCTGTAGATGTCTATTAGGTCCACTTGGTGCAGAGCTGAGTTCAATTCCTGGGTATCCTTGTTAACTTTCTGTGTCATTGATCTGTCTAATGTTGACAGTGGGGTGTTAAAGTCTCCCATTATTATTGTGTGGGAGTCTAAGTCACTTTGTAGGTCACTAAGGACTTGCTTTATGAATCTGGGTGCTCCTGTATTGGGTGCATATATATTTAGGATAGTTAACTCTTCTTGTTGAATTGATCCCTTTACCATTATGTAATGGCCTTCTTTGTCTCTTTTGATCTTTGTTGGTTTAAAGTTTGTTTTATCAGAGACTAGGATTGCAACCCCTGCCTTTTTTTGTTTTCCATTTGCTTGGTAGATCTTCCTCCATCCCTTTATTTTGAGCCTATGTATGTCTCTGCACGTGAGATGGGTTTCCTGAATACAGCACACTGATGGGTCTTGACTCTTTATCCAATTTGCCAGTCTGTGTCTTTTAATTGGAGCATTTAGCCCATTTACATTTAAAGTTAATATTGTTATGTGTGAATTTGATCCTGTCATTATGATGTTAGATGGTTATTTTGCTTGTTAGTTGATGCAGTTTCTTCCTAGCCTTGATGGTCTTTACAATTTGGCATGTTTTTGCAGTGGCTGGTACCGGTTGTTCCTTTCCATGTTTAGTGCTTCCTTCAGGAGCTCTTTTAGGGCAGGCCTGGTGGTGACAAAATCTCTCAGCATTTACTTGTCTGTAAAGTATTTTATTTCTCCTTCACTTATGAAGCTTAGTTTGGCTGGATATGATATTCTGGGTTGAAAATTCTTTTCTTTAAGAATGTTGAATATTGGCCCCCACTCTCTTCTGGCTTGTAGAATTTCTGCCAAGAGATCTGCTGTTAGTCTGATGGGCTTCCCTTTGTGGGTAACCCGACCTTTCTCTCTGGCTGCCCTTAACATTTTTTCCTTCATTTCAACTTTGGTGAATCTGACAATTATGTGTCTTGGAGTTGCTCTCTCGAGGAGTATCTTTGTCGCGTCCTCTGTATTTCCTGAATTTGAATGTTGGCCTGCCTTGCTAGATTGGGGAAGTTTTCCTATATCCTGCAGAGTGTTTTCCAACTTGGTTCCATTCTCCCCGTCACTTTCAGGTACACCAATCAGATGTAGATTTGGTCTTTTCACATAGTCCCATATTTCTTGGAGGCTTTGTTCACTTCTTTTTATTCTTTTTGCTCTAAACTTCTCTTCTCGCTTCACTTCATTCATTTCGTCTTCCATCACTGATACCCTTTCTGCCAGTTGATCACATTGGCTACTGAGGCTTCTGCATTCGTCACGTAGCTCTCGTGCCTTGGTTTTCAGCTCCATCAGGTCCTTTAAGGACTTCTCTGCATTGGTTATTCTAGTTATCCATTCATCTAATTTTTTTTCAAAGCTTTTAACTTCTTTGCCATTGGTTTGAACTTCCTCCTGTAGCTCAGAGTAGTTTGATCATCTGAAGCCTTCTTCTCTCAACTCGTCAGTCATTCTTTGTCCAGCTTTGTTCCGTTGCTGGTGAGGAGCTGCGTTCCTTTGGAGGAGGAGAGGCACTCTGATTTTTAGAGTTTCCAGTTTTTCTGCTGTTTTTTTCCCATCTTTGTGGTTTTATCTACCTTTGGACTTTGATGATGGTGACGTACAGATGGGTTTTTGGTGTGGATGTCCTTTCTGTTTGCTAGTTTTCCTTCTTACAGACAGGACCCTCAGCTGCAGGTCTGTTGGAGTTTGCTGGAGGTCCACTCCAGACCCTGTTTGCCTGGGTATCAGCAGCAGTGGCTGCAGAACAGCGGATATTGGTGAACCGCAGATGCTGCTGCCTGATCGTTCTTCTGGAAGTTTTGTCTCAGAGGAGTACCTGGCCGTGTGAGGTGTCAGTCCACCCCTACTGGGGGGTGCCTCCCAGTTAGGCTACTCGGGGGTCAGGGACCCACTTGAGGAGGCAGTCTGCCCGTTCTCAGATCTCAAGCTGCATGCTGGGAGAACCACTACTCTCTTCAAAGCTGTCAGAGAGGGACATTTAAGTCTGTAGAGGTTACTGCTGTCTTTTTGTCTGTGCCCTGCCCCCAGAGGTGGCGCCTACAGATGCAGGCAGGCCTCCTTGAGCTGTGGTGGGCTCCACCCAGTTCGAGCTTCCTGGCCGCTTTGTTTACCTAATCAAACAACTAACTTGGCAATGACAGGTGCCCCTCCCCCAGCCTCACTGCCACCTTGCAGTTTGATCTCGGACTGCTATGCTAGCAATGAGCGAGACTCCCTGGGAGTAGGACCCTCCGAGCCAGGTGCGGGATATAATCTCCTGGTGTGCCATTTTTTAAGCCCGTTGGAAAAGCACAATATTAGGGTGGGAGTGAGCCGATTTTCCAGGTGCCCTCTGTCACTGCTTTCTTTGACTAGGAAAGGGAATTCCCTGACCCCTTGCGCTTCCCGGGTGAGGTGATGCCTCGCCCTGCTTCGGCTTGCGCGTGGTGCGCTGCACCCACTGTCCTGCACCTACTGTCTGGCACTCCCCAGTGAGATGAACCCGGTACCTCAGTTGGAAATACAGAAATCACCCGTCTTCTGCGTTGCTCACAATGGGAGCTGTAGACTGGAGCTGTTCCTATTTGGCCATCTTGGCTCCTCCCCCCTTTTTTTTCTTTTTTTAAGATGCAGTCTCACTCTGTCACCCAGACTGGAGTGGAGCAGCATGACCTCGGCTCACTGCAACCTCCGCCTCCTGGGTTCAAACAGTTCTGTCTCAGCCTCCCAAGTAGCTGGGACTCCAGGCACCTGCCACCATGCCCAGCTAATTTTTGTATTTTTAGTAGAGATAGGGTTTCACATTGTTGGTCAGGCTGGTCTTGAACTCCCGACCTCAGCTGATTCACTTGCCTCGGCCTCCCAAAGTGCTGGGATTACAGGCGTGAGCCACCATGCCCAGCTAAAAGGCCATTCTTAATTTTCAAAAGAGAACTTTATGACATCTGGGAATTTCAGAGGCTTTGCAGAACAATATTAAGAAAACTACTGTTTGCTAGGCTTGAGGTCAGGAGTTCAAGACCAGCCTGGGCAACATAGCAAGACCCTATCTCTATTCTACTTTAAATAAAAAATAAAAATAGAAAACAAGAAAAGAAACCTATTGTTTACAGAATAAAGTGATTCTAGGTCTTTCAGTCAGGTCTGTTTTCTTAACAAAATACACACTGAAGTGTAAAAATACTGCCGAACTGTTTATATTCCTTCAAGAATACTAGCAGATGAGTAAATTGGCAATATGATTAAAAAAAAGAAATATGCATGCCTCTTGACCCAGCAGTTTCCTTAGAAATGTGACTTGAAGGAATCATTAAAAATGTGTGCAAAGATTTTCCCACTAGGAGGTTCTCCTCAATGCTGCTTAAAATAACAAAAAAATCAAAACAACCTCAGAATCTATAGTAAGAGAATCTGTAAATAAGGATATACCTGTAAATAAGGGTGTAAAGTACATGGTATTCTAGATAATGTAGATATAAAATGGAATTATCTCCACAATATATCATTGGGTTTAAACAGGTTAAGACAGCATCCATAATGATTTTACTACATATGATTAGTAAGACATTAAATACAAATATTAAAATCAAACAATATATATTAAAGTTAATTATACAGGCATAGAGAGTAGAGAGACATAATGGCTACTAAATGTATTAGTAGTTATCTCTAAACAGTTGAGTTGCTGTTCATTTTTACTTTCTTTACATTTTCCTGTATTGCTTAAATTTTCTATAAAATGCATATCAGAATTTAAAAATATAGTTATATTCATATTCATTTTTTTCTTTTTTCTTTTAAGACAGGGTCTCGCTCTGTCACCCAGGCTGGAGTGCAGTGGCATGCTCATGGCTCCCTGCAGCCTCAACCTCCTGGGCTCAACTGATCCTCCTCCCACCTCAGCCTCCCAAGTAGCTGGGATTACAGGTATGCACCAGCACACTAGGCTAATTTTTGTATTTGTTGTAGAAACAGGGTTTCACCATGTCACCCAGGCTGATCTCGAACTTTGTTTTTAAAGGCAAAAAGTAAACGTACAAATTCAAGGCATAAGGTGAATAGGAAGTTTAGCAATTGAAAAAAAATAACCTATCTGACTACTACCCTTTAGGTATTTTAGAGAGTAGGGAAAAGGAGAAGAGAGAAAAAGAAAGGGCTGAAACGTGGGAACAATATACAACCTATTAAAACCAGAGAAACTGGGGAGCTGTGGTGGCAAAAAAAAAAAAAAAAAAAAAAAGACACAGAAATGCTCACCACTTTAGCCACATCAAAACCAATGCAGGCAAGAAGCTGCTCTGAAGTCTCCCAACCCTTCAGCCAGGCATGGTAGTAGTCCCAGCTATTTTGGAGGCTGAGGCGAGAGGACTGGTTAAGCCCAGGAGTTTGAAGCTCCGGTGAGCTATGATCTCACCACTGCACTAAAGCCTGGGCAAAAGAGATCCCGTCTCTTAGAAAAAAAAGTCTAAAAACCCCAAACAAAAGCAATCGCATAGACTAGTCTTAGGAGTTCACTACCTTGATAACAGCGCTAGAGATACTCAGACACTGAGCCCTTTCTAAAATAATGTAGACGTGTATCAAAGACCAGACAGTTTTATTGTTCTTTTCAGCAATTCCTCATAGATGGTGTTCTTAATTTCCTTATACATATATGAATCAGAACCCACCCCCCAACCCCCTTGTTTTCTTTTTCCTGGGCTTGGAGCAAGAGGCAATTGCACTGGTGACTCTCCACAATGACATGAGTTCTCA
Source organism: Homo sapiens (assembly GCF_000001405.40). Classification (NCBI taxonomy): domain Eukaryota; kingdom Metazoa; phylum Chordata; class Mammalia; order Primates; family Hominidae; genus Homo; species Homo sapiens. The sequence continues at coordinate 31,558,353 of NC_000012.12, forward strand.
GTTGTTCCATGAAAGATTATTACAGTGCAACTACAAGAACAGCACAATAAGAGAAATGGTTCTCACCTCTTTGATCTACAGAAACATGTAGACCTCCAGGGCTTAACAGAAAAATTTTCCTGGAACTCCTAAACTTTAGGCATAAGACCCAAATAACTTCATTCCTAGCCTTTTAGTTTGTACCCAGGTATCACAAACTTATTTACAAAGTTTATTCTGACCTATGCAAATAAAATTGGGCACTTTATTAAAACTTCTTTGAATCTATTACTCATGAATAAAACATGAAAAATACTCATACTGATGGATAACACTTTACACAACACTGAATCAACTCCCCTTTGCTTGCCTCCTCCTAAAGGACTGGCTTAATTTCAGTAGTAGAACCCAAACATGAATCAATCTCATGACTAAGCATTAACTATGCATCCATTTAGCAAATGAAAGTTTATTTTAGCATTTGAAATTCTGTGGTTCTTCAGGAATATAGCCAGATAAATGATTTTTACTAACAAATGCAACTAACACCATTTCATCTCCTCTCTAGGAATGACTGAAGACTCTTGACTATCATCTATTCAGCACCTGGAAGCATTACCTTTTTGTAATACGAAAAGAAAAACAGCTGAAAGAAAGAAAATATACTTGTCCCTTCAAATATAGATCATATAATCAAATACACCTTAATTCACTGGTAAATATGTCACTTGGAACATAAGTTCTAACCCCAGATGAAAAATGAAAAGTAAACTTTCTACCATCCTCGTACTGATAGAAAATTCTCATGGGAGAGTAGGGAAAAACAGTCAGTCTTCGGTCTATTTTAGTTAAACCTTCACATTAGTGGAGGAAACGATGAACTCATGGCAAATTAAGCTACCCTCCCTAAGTTATTTTTCCTCAACAAATCAAACTCAAAGACAAGCTTACAAAACTGGAAACACAGAATAAAAGAATAAAAGAGGACACTGTCTCCTATGCCATATTATAGTCCAGAATTAGTTAATCTAATTCAAAGTATTGGCAAGGATGTTCCATCAACTAGACCAGGTATTTATCATTCATTACCATGTACTGCTTAAGCATGTAAAGTAGCTGAAACACAAATATTTTGGAGTTATCTCCAGACAAAGAGTAAAAACACAAGAAAAATGTTAAAATCCTATTATGTTCAACCGCTGATGATTTTCAGAATTTACATCTTTAATTTTTATTAACATTAGGAAAGTTTTGCCTATACTGTTTAGCTTAATTAAAGTGTAATGGAAATGTAAGAATCTGACAGCACTTATTAATATCTGTTTAGCAATTATACACTTGAAGTTTAATCATGGATTTAAGAATTTCAATAAAATAGTGAAAGAAGAAATAAAAGAAAAAAGAAAAACAACAGTGAAAGAAATAGAATCAAGGCATTAATCCACCAAGAAAAGGGTTAGCTGTGTGTTCACTCTGACCTTGAGTCTATTACCACATGGAAATTTTTTAGGAATTTTACAACGGAAGGAAAAAAGGGAAGAAAAAAGAGATACTCTTAGTGCTGCTGCTGCCTTCCTTCTTTACTGTTCTATTCTCCATATATTCAAAAAATACTTAGTAATTTTTCCCCTAAAATGTTGTAAATGTGCTTACTGATCCAATCTTACTGTTAGAACATCCATGAACTATCCTTGGCCCTCTTCCTCTTCTCTATCCACATTCTCTCCCTTGGTGATCTTATCTAAACTCAAGGATTTAAATATTTTGCCTCCATAATGTATAATTCCAGCTCAGTCTTCTCTCTTAACTCCAGACTCATACGTCTAACTGCCTACTTGACCAGAATATCTTACAGGTGTCTCAAACTCAGAATGTCCAAAAATGGATTCCTGAGCTGTGCCAACCCTCCTCCAACCTATGCAACCCATACTATGGTATTCTCCAGTTAAGTTGATGGTAATTCCATTTTTCTTCAACTTACTGAAGTTTAAAACCTTTAGAGTCATCTTTGATTCATCCCCTTTCTCTCACACCCCGCCTTTTGATAACAAAATCCTATTGTTTCAATCTTCCAAATATGTCCAGAAATTGACTACATCTCACTATCTCCACTGCTACTATGTGGCCTGAGCCACCACCATCATCCCTTACTTAAATTACTGCAGGCTTCCCAACAGATCTTCCTGCTTCTACCCTTGAACCTCCCTGCATACACACACACAATTTAGTCTTAATACAGCTAGCTGCCAGGATGATCCTTTTAAAACTAAGTCAGAGGTCTCTCTACCCTGTTCAAATCAGGCAATGGCTCCCCCCATTCTCTTAGAGTAAAAACCAAAGTCCTTTCAACAACATAAGGCCCTTCATGATGGGGCCTCCTGTGGCTTCCCCTTCTATTATTCATTCCTCTTGTTCACTCCTCCAGACTCTTTAGGGTTACTCGAACTCACCAGGTGACCGCTTGATGTTTACTTTGGGATACTTTTCCCAAATATCTACTTGGCTAACTCCCTTACTTTCTTAAGTCTTTGTTCAAAGATCACCTCTCAGTGAGGGCTACCCTGAACACCTTGTTTAATATTGCAACCAGCTCCTTTACTACCAAAAAGAGAGAGTAAACTATGCTTAGTGAGCTCATTTCACCTAGCAGAGACCGTGGAAGAAAGTACTAAGATCAGAGGGAGTATTCTTACGAGAAAATAGAATAGGAGATTTGCTGGAACCTTTGTCAAGATCCCAGTTATGTTCAGGGATTTAAAAAGAGAACTCCGTATGTAAGGGATGAAGAAAAGAGGAGATCAGTTACCAAAAAGGATCTATACTCAGGATCTGTCCGAGTCACAGATACACAGCTGCACCATACTCATGTACGCATCTCAAGGGGGCAAAGCCCGCAATTTAAAGCACAGCAAAGCATTTCCTTATCCACATATCGCAAAAGAGAAACAGCAAGAAAATATATCCCAGCTCAAGCATAGCATACACAAATACATTTCACAATAATTTCCTAAGCCAAGCGTGGTGGCACACACCTATAATTCCAGCTACTTGAGAGGCTGAGGAGGAAGGATCACCTGAGCCCGGAAGTTCAAGAACAGTCTGGGCAACATAGTGAGACCCTGTCTCAAATAATAATAATAACAACAACAACAATTTATGCTCCACATGCCTGCAACAGTTCATCTCTAGGAAAAGGGGCTTACTTGAGACTTGATGCTTACGTTTAAAATATATATATACATATTTTGAAACCTGATTAGCCAACATCTAACCACCTCAATTTATAGTAAAGAGGACTCCTAAAACTCAAACCTGTTTAGCATAACATAAAGTGACAAATAGAAAACATTGCCATTTCCAGGAAGAACAAAAAATCAATAATTTATTCAAACATACATTGAGCGCCTACTATTTGTCAGGCCTGTGACAGGAGCTAGTATGGCATTAAGAGTGTAGTAACTACAGTCAAAATGAGGTATAAATATCAAACACATGAGCATTTTTTCCCTTTGTAATAGATTCATCAATCATGCTGACAATGGCTATATATTCTGGAACTTTCTCCGTAAGTTTAAGCCACATCATTCATTCAACAAAGTTGCAGTGAGCATCTATTAAGTGCAAGCACTGTAGTAGATGCTGAAGGACTACAAATATAAATAAATAACAGGTTACATTAATTGGGTACTTCCCATATACCCCAGACTCTGTACATTATCTCATTCATCAACTTAGCCACCATTATAAATTAAATACTTCCCTATTTTAGAGATGATAAACTATTATGCTAAACTGTTTCCCTCAAGTAGCTTCAAGTCTAGAAGTCAGAAAGACATGCTTAGAAATCATATTAATACTATCTGGCCAGCCCTACCTCATTACCACCCAAAAGTCCAATAAATAAAAATGGCAATTTATGTACCCACAGGTAAAGAGTACACACATTTCATACTACAGAATTGCTTTCTAAAGGATAAATTTAAATTAAAATAAATGGGCCGGGCGCAGCAGCTCATGCCTATAATCCCAGCACGTTGGGAGGCCGAGGCAGGCGGATCACCTGAGATCAGGAGTTCCAAGACCATCCTGACCAACATGGAGAAACCCCATCTCTAATACAAATACAAAATTAGCTGGGCGTGGTGGCGGGCACCTATAATTCCAGCTACCAGGTAGGGAGGCTAAGGCAGGAGAATCAGTTGAACCCGGGAGGTGGAGGTTGCGGTGAGCCGAGATCGCACCATTGCGCGCCAGCCTGGGCAACAAAGGCGAAACTCTGTCTTTAAAAAAAAAAATGAAATAAAATAAAATAAAATAAAAGGCTTGTAGTTGTATACGATCTGTGTAATGATAGCAGTTTTGTAAGAAAAATAAAATGAAAGCAAATAATAGATAATGAAAGCAACCAATGACTAATTTCTAGCTTCTTCCTTTCTAATCTAAAAAAGCTGCTCTGTAATAACTTTAATTACTTCAGTGACAAGACTTCTAATTCTGTCCAACTCATTTCTTCCTAACACATGGGAACAAAACCAGGTGACTTGTACAAAATGAAACTATTTAAGTATTCATCTATAAACTGCTTTCCTTTTTCCTTTTTTTTTTTTTTTAACAAATTCTAAATACTTACGTAGATAAGGCTTCCTCTGCCCCTAAGCAAACTTTCTGCACAATAACTGCACCTAGCTTGGTGAGACAGATGGAGAGCCTGCAAAGTCTACAAACTTTTTGTTTAAAAGGTGGCAAATGAGTTCTACTGACCATCAAAGTCAGCTAGGTTTCTGGGAAGCACTGACCCTGGGGCCATGTTTTTTCACCTTGCAAAGCCAAAGCAGACAATGGAGTCAAAGCTAAAAGAAGAGAAGCCAAAGGAAGACTGGACTTAAACATGAAAATCCGTATCATACAAATTTATAACACAAACAGCCCACCTTTTTCAACACCGCCATCACAGTGTTAATCTACAAAAAATGGAAAGACTGATCCTACTCTTTCTAAAATCTAAATCTATCACTCAACTAGGTAAAATCTCAGCATTTTTTAATGAACTCCAACTGCTAACCTCCTTTGGGGGTAAAAACAAAAACAAAAACTGAGGATTCCATTCCTGTGTAAAGCAGAGAGTTAATGTAAGAAGATCATACTTTAATTGTAAAGACAAAGCAGCAAAGTTTCTTCCTAAAACAGAAGCAGGAACACCTAAGTGAACTCAAGTTACTATTCAGTGCAAAAAGCAGTCTTACGAACTTTGAGTTTGTAAGACCAATTTTCAGAAACATTTTTGAATCCTAGATAAACCTACTATCAATGATCTGAAGATAATTTAATTTTTAAAAATAAAAGGATTATTTACTGTCTCTCTTCATCTACTTCCTAAATGATTTCAAGAGATCTCTTGGAAACCAATAAGAAACATGCAAATGCCTTTTGCAAATAAAAAAATTTAAGTCAACTTTTAATCATATGCTCTCTAAATTTAAAAAAAACTTCTTTAATGAAAGTGGGCCGGTTGTGGTGGCTCATCCTTGTAATCCCAGCACTTTGGGAGGCTGAGGTGAGTGGATCACTTGAAGTCAGGAGTTCAAGACCAGCCTGGCCAATGTGGTGAAACACCATCTCTACCAAAAATATAAAAATTAGCTGAGCATGGTAGTGCATGCCTGTAATCCCAGCTACTAGGGAGGCTGAGGCAGGAGAACTGCTTAAGCCCAGAGGGGCAGAAGTTGCAATGAGCCAGAATCACACCACTGCACTCCAGCCTGGGCAACAGAGCAAGTCTCCAGCTCAAAAAAGAAAAGAAAATGAATGTTACTATTTAATGACTAGAATAGATTCATAATTCAGAGATAAAATATTATATATATACACATTAAAGCATAATAAAATGTAGTGATTAGCCATTATTTGTAAGTGAATTTGAGTATCCATAAACTTTACCTTGAGTATCTACTCTTTATTGATTACATCCTCAGCAACAAGAAACAAAACAAGAGCAACCCACTGCAACCATAGACTGGCTGCCAGAAGGTAAGAGTATGTGAGGATCTAGTGCAAACAAGGTAGGAACTGTTAAGAGTCCATGAATATTTCAGAAGAATAATGAAAAAGTGTGCCAGATGGGTTCACTTGCAGCTGGCTAACAACATTTCTGACCAAAGCCTAATGCTTCCTTACATAATTTATCATGCACTTTTCAGTTCCCTTCCACTACCACCCCTCTCTTTTCATTCTATTATTATTATTATTATTATTATTATTATTATTATTATTATTTTGAGACAGGGTCTGGCTCTGTCACCCAGTCTGGAGAGCAGTGGCGAGATCTCTGCTCACTGCAACCTCCAACTCCCAGGCTCAAGTGATCCTCCCACCTCAGCCTCCAGAGTAGCTGGGACTACAGGTAGGCACCACCTCCCTTTGCTAATTTTTGTATTTTTTTTAGAGACAGGGTTTTGCCATGTTGCCCAGGCTGGTCTCACACTCCTAGCCTCAAGTGATCCTCCCACCTCTGCCTCCCTAAGTGCTAGATTACAGGTGTGAGCCACCACAACCAGCCCATGCCATACTGCAATTCTAAAGATAGCAGATTGTATTATTTCCTTCAGCGGAGATGGCATCAAAATCCTGCACACTACTATTGCTTTAGTATGCTCTACTTAAAACCACTGCTGAAGATTATAGATCCTAACAGATTTAATCAATGTGGCAGTCAGCCTCAAGATGACCCTCAATGATTCTTGGTTCCTGGTATTCACAACCTTGCCAATTCGACTACTGCATCTATTAAGGGATTAGCTGGGCACAGTGGCTCATGCCTGTAATCCCAGCACTTTCAGAGGCCAAGGCAGGTGGCTCACTTGAGACCAGCCTGGGCAACATGGCAAAACTCTGTCTCCACAAAAAAATAAAAAAACCAGCTAGGTGTGCCGGCACACACCTGTAGTCCCAACTACTTGGGAGACTAGGATAGAAAGATCGCTTGAGCCCAGGAGGCAGAGGTTGCAGTGAGCTGAGATCATCTCACAAAAAAACGAAAGAAAAGAAAGGAGTAAATCTATTGAGTCCTTTTACACTCACGTTGAGTCCTGTTAAGCAATTTATACATCTTGCTTATGTGGATGCCTCTGGTCGCTTACACGTAGATAGTCTACTCCTAAAACAGATGCACAACCAACAAAATCTGTAATTTTCATGCATAAAAGGCCCAAAGTTAGTCTTGTTTTCATTTAGAATGTGATTTAGGTTAACATATAATAGGTTTATTAATGTTCCTTTTAAGTATATAAATGCCCTGCTCTCTATCAGATTTAAAAGGTGGGCTCTTTTACACATGAGAATGATTAAGTTTCTCTGAGACTGTTCTCTATAGTTAAAGGGGCCTGGATTTGGACCCAGAAGAATCTCTGTTGTGGTTCTAATTCTGCCACTAGCAATGCAAACTTAGGTAATTCATTTAACGTCTCTAAACATGATTGCCAGCTGCAAACTAGGGACCATATTTGACTGGCTATAAAAACTAAAAAATAGTGGCCTGGCACAGAGGTTCACACCTGTAATCCCAGCACTTTGGGAGGCTAGGGCAGGTGGATTGCTTGAACCCAGGAGTTTGAGACCAGCCTGGGCAACATGGTAAAGCCCCATCTCTAGAAAAAAAAATATAAAAATTAGCTGGGCATGGTGGCATGCACCTGTAGTCCCAACTACTTGGGAGACTAGGGTGGAAGGATCGCTTGAACCCAGAAGGTGGAGATGGCAGTGAGCTGAGATCACACCACTACAGTGAAGCCTGGGTGACAGAAGTGAAACTCTTGTCTCAAAAAAAATTAAAAAATATAATTTGAAGCCAGTCATGGTGGTGCACACCTGTAGTTCCAGCAACTCAAGAGACTGAGGCAGGAGGATTGCTTGAGCCCAGGAGTTCGAGGCTATAGTGTGCTGTAATCACATCTGTGAATAGCTACTGCATTCCGGCCAGGGAAACATAGTGAGAACCTCTCTCTTAAAAACTGTGTGTGTGTGTGTGTGTGTGTGTGTGTGTGTAATTCAAGCAATACTTTTATTATTGTTATTAAATTAAGAGATTAAAAGGCAACATGGTAAAACAGATATATATATATTAAAATTAGGTGCATATTCTACGATAAAACATGTCATAGGCTGGGCCCAGTAGCTCATGCCTATAATCCCAGCACTTTGGGAGGCAGAGGTGGGAGGATCACTTGAGGCCAGGAGTTCAAGACGAGCAAGGGCCACATAGCAGGACCAGGTATCTACAATAATTTTTTAAAAATTTTTTAAAGAAAAAATATCTAAAGGAGAGTTCCAGGAATACCTTAAATTTCATCATCAAACTGCCCAAGGTTTAAACCAATTAATTATGATGATGAAAATGTGGCTAATATTTATTGTGCAATTACATCCTGCCAGGCTACATAGTAAGTACTATACAAGCATTATCAACCAATAGCAGGCAGTTCAACATCAGATTCTTCTATACAGCTAATTGGTAAACATTTTTCTATGGTAGTACCAGATGACTGGAACATTAGCTGGGTTCGGTGGAGTGTGCCTGTTCTACCAGCTACTTGGGAAGCTAAGGCAGGAGAACTGCTTGAGCCTGGGAGGCGGAGGTTAGAACCCAGTGCAAGCACTTGCAGACATTCAAACTGGTAAGCTATACAAATTCCACAATGTTAAAGAACACACAGTTTACTATCGCATGTATATTCCTATTGCAACACCTTATTTCAAAATAAAAATAATTTTCTTTTAGAGAGCCTATCCCTATTTGTTATTTAGGTTGACAAACCCAACATACAATAAAGTTGCCAAATTCATTAGCTGGGTGTGGTGGCACGTGGGTGTAGTCCCAGCTATTTGGAAAGCTGAGGTGGGAGGATCACCTGAGCCCAGGAGATGGAGGCTGCAGTGAGCTGTGATAGCATCACTGCACTCCAGCCTGTGTGCCAGAGCAAGACCTTGTCTCAAAAAAAAAAAAAGAAGTTGCCAAATTCAATTTACTTGTGTGTCCTATCTTTCCTATCCATCCCCCATCTTCTTTACTCCCACCACTACTATTCTAATTCAGAATGTTGCCTTCTAATTTGTCTTACAGAACAGCCTCCTCAGAGGTTGCAGTGAGCCAAGATCGTGCCACTGCACTCCAGCCTGGGCAACAGAGCAAGACTCTGTCTAAAAAAAAAAAAAAAAAAAAAGCATCCTAATTGGTTTCCCCACTTCAAATCTCGTCCCAGTTTAATTCCATGCTATATCCTCCATCCAGAGTGATATTCCTAAGGCTACAGTTTTGAGCAAGCCACTCCTTTGTTCAAAACCTTTTAGGGTGGTGCATACCTGCAGTCCCAGCTACTTGGGAGGCTGAGGTGGGAGAACTGCTTGAGCCCAGGAGATTAAGGCTGCAGTGAGCTATGATCTCACCACTGCACTCCAGCCTAGGCAAACAGAGCAAGATTCCACCTCTTTAAAAAACAACAACAACAAAACACCTTTCAGTGGCTCTTTTCTATTTTTAGGGGGTTGTTTTGTTTTGTAGAGACAGGGTCTTGCTTTGTTGACCAGGCTAGTCATGAACTCCTGGGCTCAAGCCAAGCCATCCTCCCACCTCGGCCTTCCAAAGTACGGGATTACAGATGTGAGCCACCACAACTGGCCTCTTTTCTGTCCTTCAGAGGGCCATCTTTATAGTCTAGCATTCAACAAGTAGAGAATACAGGTTGAGCATCCCTAATCCAGAAATATGAAATGCTCCAAAATCTGAAATTTTTTGACTGCTAATGACACCACAAGTGGAAAATTCCATACCTGAACTAATGTGATGGGTACACAAAATCATTTAAAATACTGTATAAAATTACCTTCAGGCTACATGAATAAGGTACATATGAAATATAAGTGAATTTCATGTTTAGACTTAGGTCCCACCCTTAAGAAATCTCATTATGTATATGCAAATATTCCAAAATCTGAAAAAACACAAAATCCTAAATACTTTTGGTCTCAAATATTTTGGATAAGGGATACTCAACCTGTATTGGGAATGTTTCCCAGCAGCCACTTCCCTCCCTCTTCTACTGTGAACTAGCTATATAGTTTTCATCCCAAATTAGTCTCAGTAATCAGTTTAATCCCATTTTACTTGCCACACTGATTTGTTAAAGGACAGGCCACAGCAAACACCCATATTTTTGTTTCCTGACAGGAGTGAAGGCTAGAGGAGGAAAGTTAAATCTCTTCTAAGGAAGGTGTGATGTGCGAATACAAACTCTTAACTTCTGCTGCCACTTAATAACTCTGAGGGAAGCCACCAGAAGAGAAGTCAACAGTGCATAAAGGTTGCGCCTAAACAGCTGCAGTGAAATGAAGCTGGAGCCACGTTCAAATTACACCCTGAACACATGCCCCCAAAAACTCCTTTTAAATTTTGTGAACCAGCCAAATTCCTTTATCTCCTCTTTGACCTATAAACCACAGCATTCTAACTGATAGAGAACTCCAAAGGCTGATTCAACCTCTTTTCCCAAGTCATCTCCCACCACTTCATAAAATGTTGAAGTGGGCTAATCTATATTCCTCTTTGTTTTTGAGACAAGGGTCTGGTATGTTGCTCAGACTGGTCTTGAACTCCTGGGCTCAAGCAATCCTCCCACCTTAGCCTCCCAGGTAGCTAGGGTTACAGGTACATACATGCCACCACACCCAGCAACATACCTTTTTTTTTTTTTTTTTTTTTTTGAGACGAGGGTCTTACTGTGTCACCCAGGCTGGAGTACAGTGGTGAAATCTAGGCTCAATGAAATCTCCACCTTCCAGGCTCCGGTGGTCCTCCCACCTCAGCCTACCGAGTAGCTGGGACCACAGGCGCATACTGCCAACACCCAGCTAATTTTCTGTATTTTTGGTAGAGATGGAGTTTCACCATGCTGCGCAGGCTGGTCTCGAACTCCTGAGCTCAAGCAATTCACCTGCCTCCCAAAGTTCTGGGATTACAGGTATGAGCCACCACGCCTGGCCTACATACCTCTTTTATGTGTGTAACATATATATCTGGCTCTGGAAACAAAAAGTAGGAGCAGTGAGCTGGGCATAAATAGACCTTCTTTTCCACAATTTGCCCCCTTACATTATTTTGTGACTGTGTTATATTCTCCTCCCAAAAATTTTAAAGAGCCAATGCCAGCTGGGAGCGATGGCTCATGCCTATAATCCCAGTGCTTTGGGAGCCAGAGGCAGGCAGATCACTTGAGGCCAGGAGTTCAAGACCAGCCTGGCCAATGTGGTGAACCCTGTCTCTATTAAAAACACACAAAAAAATTAGCCGAGTATGGTGGTACATGCCTGTGATTCCAGCTACTCAAGAAGCTGAGGCAGTAGGATAGCTTGAGCCCAGGAGGCAGAGGTTGCAGTGAGCCATGATTGTGTCACTGCATTCCAGCCTGGGCAACAGAGTGAGACTCTGTCTCAAAAAATAACAGTTAAGAGCCACTGCCAGTCACAGTACACAGTACTTAGGAACAACTAAAATTCATCTCAATTCAACTCATTCTAAAAAATTACCAAAAAATGGCCTGGTGCGGTGGCTCATGCCTGTAATCCCAACACTTTGGGAGGCTGAGGCAGGCAGATCAAAAGGTCAGGAGATCGAGACCATCCTGGCTAACACGATGAAACCCCATCTCTACTAAAAATACAAAAAATTAGCTGGGCATGGTGGCGGGTGCCTGTAATCCCAGCTACTCAGGAGGCTGAGGCAGGAGAATCACTGGAACCCGGGAGGTGGAGGTTGCAGTGAGCCAAGATCGCCAACACTGCACTCCAGCCTGGGTGACACAGCAATACTCCATCTCAAAAACAAACAAACAAAAAAACCAAGAGAAAAAAATTATAAGCAATATATCTCCAGATAAGAACTAATCAAAATTCTCTCTCTTTTTTTTTTTTTTTAAGAGACGGAGTCTCACTCTGTTGCCCAGGCTGGAGTGCAGTGGCACGACTTTGGCTCACTACAAGCTCCGCCTCCTGGGTTCACCCACCATTCTCCTGCCTCAGCCTCCCGAGTGGCTGAGACTACAGGCGCCCGCCACCACACCCGGCTAATTTTTGTATTTTTAGTAGAGACAGGGTTTTACCATGTTAGCCAGGATGGTCTCGATCTCCTGACCTCGTGATCCACCCGCCTCGGCCTCCCAAAGTGCTGGGATTACAGGCGTGAGCCACTGCACCCAGCCAAAATTCTCTTTAAAAAAAAAAAAAAAGTTTTCTTTTTTTAGGAGTTTGGTTTCATTTACTCAAAAAGATTTTAGTAATTTTTTTTGGCACTGTCATTATTAACAAAAATCATATTCATTTTCAGTAAATTGATAGGTTTAAAGAAAATGAGAAATGCACATCTGTCCTTGCAGAAGTTTTCCCAATTACTGTGTAACTGTCCCTTCTTAGGTTATACCTTCTTAGGTTATCTCAAGGTCTTTGGTTGGTTGATTGGTCTAAACATTTGAAACTCACAGGTAGGTTTTGGCAGGAAACTCATTTACAGAAAGGGTGAGAAATGTTACCTCCCTTACAGCAACACAAACTGGGAATTTTAAAAGCAACAAAAGCCAAAACATAATAAGACAATCAAAAGATTGTCCCTGTTATCATTCTGCTGCATGAAAAGGGAAACTGCAAGCATTCTCCGCATTCTCGGCTGCAAGTGCCAGCACTGATCATGAAATGTTTACATAGCCCTTACTATGGGAGACAGGAAAGGAGCTGTGAAGGACAAGTGTCAGATCTGCTGCTGCTGCTTCAAGACTCAGCCTCCCTGAAACATCACTCTTTCTTAGCAACCTGCAGGGAGACAACCAGATTTTTCCATCAGAGGTTTCTTATACCGTCTAAACATATTTTCATTCTACGTGACAACACACAAATCGGACCAGTAAGATAGAGATCAAGAGTTTATCTTGTCACTGAGTTGCCTCTTCTGCTAACTAGCTTCTTCCTGTCTTCCCATCTTATTTGTCACTAGTGTTTTCCCCTTTCCATAGAAAAAAAAATTTTAATAGATTATTTTAGCATTAAGCAACTGAGTGAGATTCAAAGCTACTCTTTCTTTTCTCATTTCACTTTAATTACTAATTGTAGAAAGGATTTGGGTTTAAAAAAAAAAAGTTGCAAGAACTACGGATTTAATTTCTATCTCTCAAAAGTAAACACCTGAATTAGAAAACTCCATTTTATCCATTCACTCTTTCTTTTTTAGAAAAATAATTTAAAAGCCACAATTTTTTTTTTTGTTTTTTTGAGACGGAGTTTCACTCATTGCCCAGGCTGGAGTGCCATGGCACGTTCTCGGCTCACTGCAACCTCCACCTCTCGGGCTCAAGCGATTCTCCTGCCTCAACCTCCTGAGTAGCTGGGGAGCCACCACGCCCGGCTAATTTTTGTGTATTTTTAGTAGAGACAGGGTTTCACCATGTTGGCCAGGCTGGTCTCAAACTCCTGACCTCAGGTGATCTGCCCGCTTTGACCTCTTAAAGTGCTGGGATTACAGGCGAGAGCCACCGTACCCAGCCAAAAGCTACAATTTTTTAAAAGCACATATTGCCAGGCCAGGTGCAGTGGCTCATGCCTGTAATCTCAGCACTTTGGGAGGCCAGCGCAGGTGGATCATGTGAGGTCGGGAGCTCAAGACCAGCCTGACCAACATGGAAAAACCCCATCCCAACTAAAAATACAAAATTAGCCAGGTGTGGTGGCGCATGCCTGTAATCCCAGCTACTTGGGAGGCTGAAGCAGGAGAATCCCTTGAGCCCAGGAGGTGGAGGTTGTGGTGAGCCGAGATCACAACACTGCACTCCAGCCTGGGCAACAAGAGCGAAACTCTGTCTCAAAAAAAAAAAGAAAAAAAGGCACATAAAGCACATATTGCCTTTTGTTATTTCAAAACAATCATTTTATTTACCCTCACTCATTGTTAAGTAGCAAGAATGCCCCCACGCAAACCAAAGTCCTACAGCTTCATTGTTACAAATCTTTCTGATGGTGCGTAAAACAGACATTCCTCAGAAAGTCCTATTAAAAAATGTCTGAAACAAAGCAAATACTTAATTTTCTGGATAATCTTGAAGATAGGATGTAAAACAATAACAAAATAAATATCAAATCCCCAAGCCCTTATTTTTGTCACTAATTTTACTCTTTCTCAAAAAAAAAAAAAAAAAAAAACTCACGAGTTATTAACACATAGCCAATGAAATCAGTCTCCTTTTCTCTGTCCTTGTTTCTCTTCCTACTCTATTTTAGGCATCTGAAAAAGTATCTAAAAGGTGTTATCTAAAAAGTGCTTATTATAAGAAGGTTAAAGCACTGATTCTCTCTGAAAAAAATCTCCTGCTCTTGTATGACACCCTCTAATTCTGGATTTTAACTTCTCATACCTAGAGACAACAAATAGGGAATAAACAGTTGAATCTCTCTTGGATTTCCTTATCCTAGAAAGCTCTAATTGTTAGCCTCTCCCGAAATATACCATTTTAGAAAACATAATTAAATAGATTTGGGGGACAGGAAAGCATTAAGGAAGAAAAAGACTTTTTAAAGAAAAAATATTTACGAAACTCATGCCAATTAAATCTGAATGTTCTCTTTAATTCTAAGAGCATCTTTTAAAGGACCTTAAAGCTTTATATGTTGCTGTGTAAGGAAACCTGAGCAGACTGGAGAAAAGCTCAAAGGCCTATCTATAATCTCATCACAAAGTGACAGGGTCAAAAGGCAGAGGTCAGGGAACAGGGTACAAAATAGTTCCCACACTTGAAAGAAAACTGTATCTCATTAGTTCAGAGATATTAAAAAATATTCAATTGTGTTACTAAAATGACAATTTATACTTTAAATCCCAAGGCAAATTTGAATATTATGAAATAATATACTTTTAAGAGCAAAAAATGTAAGAAGTTACCTCTTCTACATTTGAAAAAAACACCAATCTCTCGCTCACACATATACCAGTGCTTCAACTGTCCCTCAAAGACTGATGTTCAGATAAAAGCTGTCACCTGACCTATTCAATAGAGTTCAATAAGGCACTGAAATAAATACTGAATGTGCATACATGTCAACAGACATTTCATATCTGGGCCTCTGCCCCATAATGATTCAACAAGGTATGTCTACTTCATGGCCTTATGTTCACATTCAGAAAAAGCTAAATTTTTACTCTTGCTTAGAGATTTCATTCCAGGGAAAAGTGAATGTAATTTCGTTCAATATTCATTAAGTAGGCTCAACACTTGTGCAAGAGACTCTTATAATGACTCCATGATTCTTCAATGGACAATTAAATCTACAGAAGCTCTGGGGTCTAGGGCATTTGCTGGCTATCCCTCTACCACTTCTACTCTAACCACAAATTTTGTGTTCTAAGTGGCAGAGAGGGTGATAGAGGTATCAAAGAGATAAAGAGAATTCTGGCCAGGCACCGTGGTGCACGCCATTAGTCCCAGCTATCCCAGGAGGCTGAGGCAGGAAGATCCCTTGAGCCCAGGAGGTTGAGGCTGTAGTGAGCTATGATGGCCTGTTAATAGCCACTGTGCTCCATTCTGGGCAACAAAGGGAGACTCTTTATCTCTTAAAAAAAAAAAAAAAGGCACAGTGGCTCATGCCTGAAATCCCAACAGTGGGAGGCCAAGGTGGAAGAACCATTTGAGGCAAGGACCATTTGAGACTAGCCTGGACAACACGGTGAGATCTTGTCTCTACAAAAATAAAAAAAAAAATTAGCCAGGTGTGGTGGCATGTGCCTGTGGTCCCAGCTACTCGGAAGGCTGAGGCAAGAGAACCACTTGAGCCCGGGAGATCGAGGCTGCAGTGAGCTGTGATCGCGCCACTGCACTCCAGCATGGGTGAGAGAATGAGACCCTGTCTCTAAAAAATAATAATAATAATAATAATAATAATAATTTAAAAGGGAGGTGGCCAGGCGCGGTGGCTCCCTGTAATCCCAGCACTTTGGGAGGCCAAGGCGGGTGGAGCTCTTGAAGTCTGGAGTTCGAGACCAACCTGGGCAACACAGCAAAACCCTGTCTCTACTAAAAATACAAAAGTTAGCTGGGCATGCTGGTGCATGCCTGTAGTCCCAGCTACTCGAGAGGCTGAGGCAGAAGAATCGCTTGAACCTGGGAGGCGGAGGTTGCAGTGAGCTGAGATTGCGTCACCGCACTCCAGCCTGGGTGACAGAGCGAGACTCTGCCTCAA
Source organism: Homo sapiens (assembly GCF_000001405.40). Taxonomy (NCBI): domain Eukaryota; kingdom Metazoa; phylum Chordata; class Mammalia; order Primates; family Hominidae; genus Homo; species Homo sapiens. The sequence continues at coordinate 31,574,592 of NC_000012.12, forward strand.
AATAAAAAATAAAATAATAAAAGGGAGGTGGAGGGGGAATTTTGGAATCACCAGTATGGTTCTTAAGTTTTTGTTTTCTACCAACTTCTATCCTCTCCATACACTCAATACTTTAATTATTTCCCCATTGGCCCCATCCACCAGAAACAAGATGATTTACAAGTGGTTCACTGTAAACGGGTCCTGTCAGTCCTTCACTATGAAGAATATACAAGATTTTACATTCTAGTACACACAGCTTTCACATATTTAATTAAAATCAGATTGTAGCTAGAGCTGCCAGTGAAAAAATGAAGCACTGCCAGACAGGAGTGAGAATGACCAAACAAAATAACCTATTTTCACATAGTCACCTCAAGGGTACCAATGCCTGTGTTTTAACTGTGAAATCACAGTCATTGTTCTGGTGAACAATGGCACAAAACAAGTTAAGTCCAGTGTGAAAGTTCATTTTCCTCGAGCTGAGCAAGAATATTTTGAAATCCTGACAAAAGTTTATTTATTAAGAAAATACATACACTTGAGACAGGAGATAGGAAATAGTTTTAAACAATCTGTTATCTTGTTACCCCAGCCATTTATATTTCCTTAAAAGTTAGAGTTGAAGTTGAGGATAACTTAACCTAAAAATAGAAAACACTGTGGTTCTAAAAGTAAATCACCTACAAGCTTTAAACCTATAACCAGCCATAAATTCCTACTGCTCAATGTATTCTTATTAAAGTTAGTATGTCATTCTCATAGAATTCCAATTGATAATGTTGGTGCTGATTCTTGTAACAAAGGAGGACTACATCAGGGAATTACGTAAGAGTAGATTGTGACTACCCACTTCCCCCTTCAAAAGCAAGTCACATCTCTGCCCAAAGGAAACAATTCCTTTTTGCTGTTTTAGTCCTGATCTACAGCAATAAAAAATTGATATAAATTTAATATCTAGAAAGAATATCCTTAGACTAGCAGATTGTCCCTGTTTTCTCAAAGGACCACAAGAGAAGGAAGAGGAAGAAAACTGAACAGATACTGGAAATAAAAGGTACTAAACCCGAAAAGATGTGAGATATAAGAAATTGCCCAGTTTCAGGCTGGATGTGGTGGCTCACACCTGTAATTCCAGCACTTTGGGAGGCCCAGGCAGGATAGCTTGAGTCCAGGAGTTCGAGACAGCCTGGGCAACACAGTGTGACCCCATGTCTACAAAAAAATTTAAAAATTAACCAGGCACATAGCAGGGCACGGTGGTACATGCCTGTAATATCAGCTACTTGGGAGGCTGAGGCATGAGAATTACTTGAACACGGGAGGCGGAGGTTGCAGTGAGCCAAGATCACGCCACTGCACTCCAGCCTGGGAGACAGAGCAAGACTGTCTCAAAAAACAGAAAGAAAGAAAGAAAAAAGTTAACCAGGCATGGTGGCACATGCCTGTAGTCCCAGCTACTCAAGAGGCTGAAGTGGAAGGACTGCTTGAGCCAGGGAGGTTGAGGTTACAGTGAGCTATGACTGTGCCACTGCACTCCAGCCCGTGTGACAGAGCAAGGCTCTGTCTCCAAAAAAAAAAAAAAAAAGAAGAATGAGGCCGCGCGCACAGGGGCTCACACCTGTAATCCCAGCATTTTAAGAGGCCAAGGTGAGTGGATCATTTGAGGTCAGGAGTTCCAGACCAGTCTGGCCAACATGGTGAAACTCTGTCTCTACTAAAAAATACAAAAATTAGCCAAGCGTAGTGGCAGACGCCTGTAATCCCAGCTAATCGGGAGGCTGAGGCATCAGAATCGCTTGAACCCGGGAGACAGAGTGTGTTGCAGTGAGCCGTGATCATGCCACTGCACTCCAGCCTGGGAGACAGAGCAACACACCATCTCAAAAAAAAGTAATAATAATGAAAGATAAGAAAGAGACAGAGAAAAGAGAGAAAGAAAAGAAAAAAGAAAAAAAGAAATTTCCCAGTTTCTGCTAGAAATGAAGGTAAATGGAAGATTCAGACAGACATTTCCAAGAGTTTTTTCAGGTCAGGCGTGGTGGCTCACACCTATAATCCCAGCACTTTTGTAGGATGAGGAGGGAGGATTACTTGAAGTCAGGAGTTCGAGACCAGCTTGAGCAATAAAGCAAGAACCCATCTCTACAAAAAAAAAATGTTTTTTTTAATTAGCTGGTCATGGTGGCGCACAGCCGTGGTCTCAGCTTCTCAGGAGGTTGAGGCAGGAGGATCACTTGAGCCCAGGAGTTTGGGAGATCAAGCCTGCAGTGAGCTATGATCACACCACTGCACTCCAGCCTGGGCAGCAGAGTGAGACCTTATTTCTAAAAAAAAAAAGAGCGAGCTTTTTCACTATGAGGTTTTACATAATGATACAAGAACTTTTTTGTCAAAAGAATATTTCTTCTTCTACAGGTTTTTCTCAAAAAGGGACAACCAAAAGAGCAATAAGAGGTGGCATCATGAGGACCAAGGTGAAAATAAGGGTGATCTTTGAAGAAGGGATTAGAGAAAAAAAGTACAAAAGCCTGGTCTATGAGCAATCTTGTGTCAAGCTGTACTGAGGAATTAAGATGATCAGAAATTTACTTAATTTACATTATCACTTCTACATTGATGTTTTCTCAAACTATAGGATAATTTCCTGTTTAAATAAATGACAGAGTATGTTGTACTAGAAAAGAGGAAGAGAAGGGAGGGGCAAGAAAATATAGTCTACAAAGCAGAAACCTGGATTCTCCAGGCATGGACAGGAAAAAATTAAGCAAAATTAAGTGGATTTTCATCAGAAGGTCTCTGGGAATCTATAAAAATAGATTTAAACTTAAAAATATTTAAACTTAAAAATATCTTTAGGCCGGGCACGGTGGCTCACGCCTGTAATCCCAGCACTTTGGGAGGCCGAGGCAGGCAGATCACGAGGTCAGGAGATCGAGACCTTCCTGGCTAACATGGTGAAACCCCGTCTCTACTAAAAAATACAAAAAATTAGCCAGGCGTGGTGGCGGGCGCCTGTAGTCCCAGCTACTCAGGAGGCTGAGACAGGAGAACGGCGTGAACCTGGGAGGCAGAGCTTGCAGTGAGCTGAGATTGCGCCACTGTACTCCAGCCTGGGCGACAGAACGAGACTCTGTCTCAAAAAAAAAAAAAAAAAAAAAAAAAATCTTTAAACTGGGTTTCACAGTTTAAAATCTAGAGGTCCACAAACTATATTTAAGGATTCAGCACTTCAGTCTTCACAGCAGAACTGAATGAAAAAATTCTACAGGGTCCAGTGCAGTGGCTCACGCCTGTAAACCTAAGCACTTTAGGAGGCCGAGGCAGACTGATAGCTTGAGCTCTGGAGTTCGAGACCAGCTTCGGCAACATAGTGAAACCCCATCTCTACAAAAAATACAAAAATTAGCCAGGCGTGGTAGCACACACACCTATAGTCCCAGCTATTTGGGGGACTGAGGCAGGAGTACTGCGTAAGCCCAGAAAGTGGAGACTGAAGTGAGCCAAGATCATGCCACTGCACTCCAGCCTGGGGGACAAAGTGGGACGCTGTCTCAAAAAAAAAAAAAAAAAAAAAAAAACTACAACCCTAACATTATTAACTCCATCACATTTTTGTTTGTTCGTCTTTAGCTCAGATCACCTTTTGGATCATTTTTTATTGTAATTTATAAATACTCTTTCCAAAACACTGTCACATTGTATAATTGAGAAAAGTATCTAGAAACAATCCAGATCAGCAAAAGTGTTGAGACACACACTCCCATGGGTGTCCTCAGATAATGCACAAAATAGTTTTCTAGAGGAAAGTAAAGCAAACAGACTGACTACTTCTGCAGTGATATTCCTAAAAGGCTTTATTAATATGTGGAAACTATTCATAGCTCATCAGTAACGGTAGCTTACCAGTAGCATAAAATAGATTTCCCATTATGTATGGGGCTATGCACAATTACTGGTTTGATGCATATAATGCCACCTTTCTCTCCCACCCAGTAAAAGCATACAGGAATGGAACTGAATAAAAATAATATCATTAGAGGGAAGACCTTGAATCCATTCCACTTATTTTAAAATATATATCATAACCTCAGTATGTCTACTACTGTTAATAATTACTTGTGACCTAGCTCATGAACAGTAGGCCCATTAATGTGTCACCACCCAGCAGTTGAGGACAGCTGGTCTGAAGGACTCAGAGGGGCAGCAGGGCGTAGGAAAAAAGGCTAGTTTGCAGCCAGACAGCCTGGGATGGAATCCAAGCTATGGCCTTTCCTGTCTTTGGGCAACTCACTGAATGTCATCCTTCTCATCTATCAAATGAGAAAAGTCATATTTTCAAGTTATTGTGAGAATTAGCGTTTATAAATCACCAACCACAGTTCATGCCTCATAAATGTTAGCTATTTTCATAGCATCATAGAATAAGGGTGACTTCCTGGGATTACTTCTGACTTAATAATGCTAGCACATATCTTTGAAAGTCATTTAAATAAAGCATTATTTCAAAATTAGCTTTCTGCATGAGTGATATACACAAGTTTCTAACAGAAAAATAAAAGGTAACCCAAGAAACCCATGTTAGTAAAAATAGTTACAAGAGTTAATTTCAAATAAAGTTAGTAAAGTCATAGATTCTTGGAAAAGGTGCAGAACATCTGAGAAAGCTAATCTTGCGGCCTCTTCTATCCTCAGGATGTGCTGTCTCAGCAGCAGATAAAATACTAATACTTTCATTCCTAGAATTCTGAGTTCTTACCTCCTCACACTCAACCAGTCATCGCTGCATTTTGTTTGAAAAGTAATGGAGGCCAGGCGCAGTGGCTCATGCCTGTAATCCCAGCACTTTGGGTAGCCGAGGGGGGTGATCACCTGAAGCCAGGAGTTTGAAGCCAGCCTGGCCAACAAGCTGAAACCCCTTCTCTACTAAAAATACAAAAATGAGCCAGGCTTGGTGGCGAGTGCCTGTAGTCCCAGCTACTTGGGAGGCTGAGGCAGGAGAATCACTTGAACCCAGGAGGCAGATACTGCAATGAGGCGAGATTGCGCCACTGCACTCTAGCCTGGGTTTATTTATTTATTTATTTATTTTTTTGAGACACAGCGAGATTCTGAGAAAGAAAAGGAGAAAGAGAGAAAGAGTGAGAGAAAGAGGGAAGGGGAGGGGAGGGGAGGGAAGGGAGAGAGGGAGGAAGGGAGGAAGGAAGGAAGGAGGGAGGGAGGGAGGGAGGAGAGAAGAGAGAAGAGAGAAGAGTAATGGGGAAAGACAGTCCCATATCAAAAATTTTTGGAATCTCTGGCCAAGAGGACCTTACATGGTGCCATCTTAAAAAGTCAAGCCTTAGGTAGAACAGTGCATTGTAAAGCACAATAGGAGAGTATAAACAGAAAAAAATATATATAAAAAAATATATATATAGGATTAAACTTTATTGAAACAAAGAGAACTGTACTGACTGACTGTGCCCAAAGCTGATGTAGGTGCCATGAAGAACAAATCTGTAAATGCAGTTTCCTAAGATATTCCTTTAAAACCACAACTGAAGCTACAAGTGCTCTTTAGTACAACCACTTTCTGAAATTTCATAAATACTGCCCATCATTTACATGCTCATCACTTGGCACTAGTTTATAAATAAATAAGACATGTTTGCTTAAAAAAAAATCAAAGCCTTGTTGGTACCTGCATGCTTGCTTGCATATACCTGGTAAAAATGGTTAATTTTATTTACCGTATCTTATTTGAAGAGGAAAGGAATAGGCTAATACATTTTATAGTTGAAAGAAATTTTATTAGCCCTTCACAAAGCTGTTAGATACCTTTTTTTAGAAATCATTTATCCATTATCTTGCTTTTTCATCAATCTCAAGCTTCTCATTTTTAAGAAAACTCTAGCTTCCATTTTACTGTTTTTATTTATTTTATTTTATTTTTAATTTTTGAGACAGGGTCTCACTCTGTTAACCAGGCTGGAGTGCAGCAGCGCAATCTCAGCTCACTGCAACCTTGACATCCTGGGTTCAAGCGATTCTCGTGCCTCAGCCTCCCGAGTAGCTGGGATTACAGGCAAACACCACCACGCCCAGCTAATTTTTGTATTTCTAGTAGAGACAGAGTTCCGCCATGTTGGTGAGCATGCTCACAAACTCCTGACTTCAAGTGATCCACCCGTCTCGGCCACCCAAAGTGCTGGGATTATAGGGCTAAGCCACCGCGCCTGGTCCATTTTAGAGTTTTTAAAATCCACACATAGGCCAGGCATAGTGGCTCACCCCTGTAATCCCAGCACTTTGAGAGGCCAAGATGGGCGGATCCCTTGAGCCCAGGAGTTCAAGACCACCCTGGGCAACACAGACCCCATCTCTACAAAAAAAATTTTTTTAATCAGTCAGGCATAGTGGTGCACACCTACAGTCCAAGCTACTTGGGAGGCTGAGGTAGGAGGATCACTTGAGCCTAGGAGGTTGAGGCTGCAGTGAGCTGTGATTGAAGTATTGCACTCCAGCCTGGACAACAGAGCAAGACCCTGTCTCACTCTTGTTATAAATAAACAAATAAATGTAATATTTATTTGTTATAAACAAATACCTAAAAGTTTGAATCTTATTCTAAATACAAAGGAAGTTATTAGAGAATTTTAAGTAGAAAAAAATTATTCTAAGATCTCAATGACTATATTTGGGAACTGGCAGTATCATCCATACTACAGTAATAATCTAGAGATTAGTACAGTAATTTCAAACAGGAACCCCTGGGTCCTTAAAAGTCCATGTAGATAATAATTGGGAGTCCATTAATTGACATTAAGATTTCAAAATGCTTCTTAAAAATTGTAGCTTTCGGCCAGGCACAGTGGCCTGTAATCCTAGCACTTTGGGAGGCCGAGGCGGGCAGATCACCTGAGGTCGGGAGCCCGAGACCAGCCTGACCAACATGGTGAAACTCCGTCTCTACTAAAAATACAAAAAAAAATTAGAGGGACATGGTGGCACATGCCTGTAATCCCAGCTATTCGGGAAGCTGAGGCAGGTGAATCGCTTGAACCTGGGAGGCGCTGGCTGCGGTGAGCCGAGATCACACCATTGCCCTCCAGCCTGGGCAACAACAGGGAAACTCTGTCTCAAAAAAAAAAAAAAAAAAAGTAGCTTTTCTGGAAAGGGAACTGTATAAACTAATTGATTTTCTCCCTTTCCTGGTGGCTGATTTTCTAATTACTTAATCGCTCCTCATGTGGTATAGTTATCCCTCAGTATCTGTGTGGGATTGGTTCCAAGACTCCCAGGATGCTCAAGCCCCTTACATAAAATCGTGTAGTACGTACAGATAACATACGCACATTCTCCCGTACACTTTAAGTCACCTCCTGGTTAGTTATAATACTCAGTACGATGCAAATTCCATGTAAATGGTTGTTATGCTGTATTGTTTAGGGAACAATAGCGAGAACAAAAAACACGTACATGCAACCACAATTTTTGGTTTTTATTTTTTTTGGAACACTGTATTTTCAATTTGATGATGGTTTAATCCACAGATGTGGAACCCACACACATGGAGGGCTGACTATACATGTGGTGTGTACTCGTCCTCTTGTTCTATGACATTTAGGATTAATTTTTTTTTAACAGATAAACTTAGTTTTTTTACTCAAAAACAATTTCAGGCCCCAAGGGTGGTAGTTAGAAATCATTCATCTCATTTAACCCTTTTCAAGACAGACGAGAACACTGATGCCTGCGGCTGTCATAAGTGACAGGCCAGGAATGGAATCTCAGCTTCTGACTGTGCATTCAGCTCTAACTGCTGTACTCACTGCCCTGCCAGCTATGGTTTCACAAGCATTCATACATTCCTTTAAAAAACTATAAACTCACCTAATGACAAATTATTTATGCTAAGAAATGATAAAACCCAGTAAGAAGAGCAAAGAGGTTTTTTAAAAAGTTAAAAGTGGTATATTTCATAGTAAAAGCCTTTATACAGTAACACCTTATCTTTAAAAATATTCATTGACAAAAGCAAAAATATCATTAAATATATAATCTTCTAAATCTAAATCTGTGATGAATGAATGAGGAAATGCATGCAAGAGAAATTACTAGTGCTGACCAAAGAAGAAACAAGCTAGGTCAGGTCATAAAGGCCTGCCCGATAGTGTCGCCTTTAATATCTTTCCCATATAGAGGAATAAGAAGATAATTTCACTTGACGATAAGGTTACCCATTTGGGATCTATATTCTGGTAGATTTTACAATCTGTATGATACAGCATATGTTACTAGGGAGACAGCAAATATAGTGGTTATGGGTATGGATGTTATGGGTATGGATGAATTATGTCAGACAGATCTTCAATCCAGGCTTCTTACTTATTATAGGAACTGAAGTAAAGTATTCATTCTCTAGACTCAGTTTCCTCCTGTGTACAAAAGAGAAAACAGGCCAGGCGTGGTGGCTCACGCCTGTAATCCCAGCACTTTGGGAGGCCAAGGTGGGTGGATCACAAGGTCAGGAGTTTTAGATAAGCGTGATCAACATGGTGAAACCCCATCTCTACTAAAAATACAAAAAGTAGCCAGGTGTGGTGGCGTGTGCCTGTAATCCCAGCTACTCAGGAGGCTGAGGCAGGAGAATCACTTGAACCCGGGAGGCGGAGATTGCAGTGAGGAGAGATAGCGCCACTGCGCTCCAGCCTGGGCGACAGAGTGAGACTCAGTCTTTTAAAAAAAAAAAAAAAAGAGAGAGAGAGAGAAAAGAATGCCTATTTCCTAAGGTTGTTGTCCAGACTGAATGAGGTACTGACTATAAAGAATTTAGCACAGTGGTTGGGTGGGGTGGCTCACAACTGTAATCCTAGCACTTTGGGAGGCCGAGGCAGGAGGATCACCTGAGGTCAGGAGTTCAAGACCAGCCTGGCCAACATGATGAAACTCCGTCTCTACCAAAAAATACAAAAATTAGCCAGGCATGGTGGCACGCACCTGTAGTCCCAGCTACTTGGGAGGCTGAGGCACGAGAATCACTTAAACCTGGGAGGCAGAGGTTGCAGTGAGCCGAGATCACGCTACTGCACTCCAGCCCGGGCAACAGAGCAAGACTGTGTCTGGGAAAAAACAAAAACAAAAACAAAAACAAACAACAACAACAACAAGAATTTAGCACAGTGTCTGGCATGTGGAAAGCACTCTATAAATGTTAGCTATTTTACTATTTCATCACAGATTCTTATAGGACAGTGGCCACCACTTACGTATGTACTCCAGAATCTGACACACTGTAAGCATTTAACATTAAATAATCCAAAATATAATAGCTAGTTATGGTTTTACCAAAAACAAAATTTAGGTCATTATTAAACAAAAATGCTAAGGATCAGGCATATGGCACGTTTCCTAAAGCATCCTGTATAGAACCATCTCTACCATTCAGTAAATTATAGAAGAGGAAATTGTTTTCTTCCGTATGAAGCTTTATGGAAATCATGACTAACAATGCATTGTATTCTAGATATTTACTTTTATTACTCTGAGAGTATCTGTGACCAACAGTGGAAATACAAGCAAAAGGATGTGCACAGGAATTTTAGGACAGTCTGTCTTAACACCTTAGCAGCAAACAGAACTTGTACTCCTCCAGCCTCCTTTCTCTCTCCCTGTCCCCTTTTCTTTCCCTTTCTCTCCTCCCTCAAAGACACTATGTCTCACCCTCTTCCCCTCCCTTGTCTTCCCAGTTGTCTATGCTGGTGTGTCCTGTATTAACAAAATGGGCCATAAGCCTGAGCCTTGGGGTTATCACAGAGAATTTAGCTTCACTCACTCTTGGGCCAATTTCACTATAAAGAGTTTTATTTCCAGTAGATTTCCAAAATTAAATGATCATTATACCACAGTGTCTTAGTCTGTTTTCGTGTTGCTATAAAGAAAATACCTGAGGCTGGGTAGTCTATAAAGAAATGGCGCAGCCAGGCATGGTGGCTCACTGCCTGTAATCCCAGCACTTTGGGAGGCCAAGGATGGGTGGACTGCTTGAGCTCAGGAGTTTGAGATCAGCTTAGGCAACATCTTTGTAGAGATGGCAAAACCCCATCTCTACAAAAAATACAAAAATTAGCCAGGCATGGTGGCACATGCCTGTGGTCTCAGCTACTAGGGAGACTGAGGTGAAGGACTGCTTGAGCCCAAGGAGATTGAGGCTGCAATAAGCCAACATTGCACCACTGCACTCCAGCCTGGGTAACAGAGACTCTGTCCCACACCCCCCACCCACCCTCCCCGAAAAAAAAGAAAGAAAAAGAAAAGAAATAGTTGGCGGCTATACTACGCAAGAGGCATGGCGCCAGCATCTACTTCTGGTGAGAGCTTCAGGCTGCTTCCTCTCATGGCAGAAGGCTAGCCAATTAGAGATCACATAGCAAGAGAGAGGAACGAAGAGGGTAGGGGAGTGGTGCCAGACTCTTTTTAACAACTAGCTCTTGTGGGAACTCATAAAGGGAGAACTCACCCATTACCTCTAGGAGGGCACCAAGCCATTAACGAGGGATCTGCCCCCATAACCCAAATATCTCCCAATAAGCCCCACCTCCAACATTAGGAATCAAATTTCAACATGAGGTTTGGGGACAAAGAGCCAAACTAGCACACAGCAACCAGATCTTGAATCTTCTTTGGCCTCATTAAAATGAAGGCTGATCCCTGTACTACTCCTTCCCCAGCCCCTGAGCTACCCGGGGCAGACCTTCCAAACTCCCAAGAACCTATTGTGAGCCAAGGATGTCAACAAAGCTAACAATTGACACAGTATCAATGGTATTTGGATCACGGCAGCTTCTATCCCAATTAAGCCTATACACCCGGCCACTGTTTTTAAAAAACACACTTCAGCACAGTCTTGACTATGACATTCAGTCTGGAATAAGGGCAATCCTGAAATGCTTGTTGAATGAGTCAAGCTCATCTTTTTTCTGAGTTTAAATAGAATAACTATGGAGCATAGTGGACTGGAACCACCAGGCACTAGTCAGGTGTCTACTGCTGATCAAATGTAATCTGAGAGGGCCCTTAATCTCTGAGCCTCAGTCTCTTTACCATAAATATGTCTAAGGTCCCTTCAAGAACTAACGTGACATGATATTCTGTCAGTCTTGACTAAATGTTCTGCTTATTTGAATTCAGATCATGGTCTCCACCGTCTCTACGCTCTTTTGAAAACCACACCCAACACAACCAAAGCTAAAAATAGCTAGAGAGAGACACTAAGGAAAAGATCTAAACAAAGTTCTATGGCAGAGATCTCATCCATCAGACTTCGACAACTATTAGGAGGGCTGAATCCAGGCTACCAAGGGAACACTTTAAGAATATTCTGGTCATCACATAATTTGTAGACTCATGTAAACTTATATTCATTCCCTTATTAAACACTGTGTACTGTATATAAGGTACTACGAAAGAGGCAAAGTCCCTTCTCTCTTAGAGGGCTTGTATATTTATTTTACTTAATCAAGGCCTTATCATGTCCTTCATTTTCCCATTGCTCAAAAGATTGACTGCTGTAAATTAAGCCATGTGTACTCCTACAGCCAGGTCTTAAAGGAAATAAAAGCTATAAAATAAGATTTCAAAATGATGTCTGCCTTCCCTGACATCAACTAATTGCATGATTTACCTCCATTTATACCTCCTTTCTTCTACATGCAATAAAGAATCTCGTTTTGAAACCTTTTCCTTATCTTTAATATTTAAAGGGAATTTAAACATTTCTCCCAAAGGACGTTTTGTTCATGGGCAAAGTACCTCTTGAAAATATACAGTGGGTAGGAGAAGCACAAGAACTTCGATGTGGTACAGAAAGGACGACAGGTAATATGAGTATATCAGTATATACATGTGGACATCACCATAAAGTTTCTAAGTCCTCCATTTTAAAATATATTTTTATGTATATAGTTAAATTATTTTCAGCTATTAAGAGTTCTACGTATTTGAGATGAAAGAAGTCTCTTCCATTGCTGTTTAAGCTTGGTTTTACTAGGAGGGTCTAAAAACCATTTGAAGCCTTGATAAGTTTTATTATAAGGTCTTAGTCTATTTAACTGTTGTTGTCTTTGATTTCAATGTCCCACCACCTGCAGAGTGTGAATTCTAGGAATATGCGTATGTTAAGAAAGTCTATGAAGCAACTGGTAGAATTTATGTTTAATAGAAGTCAATTAAGACCTTCTAGAGGCACGGTGACAACTTGCTAAGAAAGTGTGATAAAGACAGATCAGCTCCAGCAAGGCAAAATAGAAACTTGACTATCATTAACTTTGAAATTAATGCAGCAAAACAGAAACTACCTTCTGGCTAATTTGCCTAACACAGTTTCATGATCCCCAAATGTTGCTCTACGGAAATAGTCAAGAAAATTCTTAGTTGAGAACATGATATGACATTCTCCTGTTTTCCTGCCATGTCACTATCCACACTCCTTAATCTCCTCGGTTGCCTCCTCCTCCTCATCCTCCCCACCTATGCATGCTAGAATGGCCCCAGGGCTCAATCATTTGCGTGTCCTCCTCTCTTTTCTATCTATACTCAACCCTTAAGTAATTTCATGGCTTTAAATTTATACCTACAGTCCAGATCTTCCCCCAAGAGATGTCTTGTCTATGTGACATCTCCATTTGAATGTCTAATGGACACATCAAACTTAATACATCCAAAACTGAACTGATTTCCAGTCTGATTCTCCATCAGTCTTCCTATTTCAGGAGAGAAGTTTATAATTGTTCAGCCCCAAAATCTTGGAGTCATCTTTGATCACTTCTTTGAATATGACTACCATATTCATAGAATTCATACATATTCATATAAATCATCAGCAAATCTCGTTGGGCCTACCTTCAACATCTATCTAGAATCTGAGTCCTTCCTGCTGCTTCACCAAGCCAACAACTTCTCTCACCACAAATACCTTTTTTTTTTTTTTTTTTTTTTTTTTTTTTTTTTTTTTTGAGACAGAGTCTCCCTCTGTTGCCCAGGCTGGAGTGCAGTGGCACGATCTCAGCTCACTGCAACCTCCACCTCCTGGGTTCAAGCGATTCTCCTGCCTCAGCCTCCAGAGTAACTGGGATATTACAGGCATGTGCCACCACGCCCAGCTTTTTGTATTTTCAGGTGAGATGTGGTTTCACCATATTGGCCAGGCTGGTCTTGAACTCCTGACCTCAAGTGATCCACCTGCCTCGGCCTTCCAAAGTGCTAGGATTATAGGCGTGAGCCACAGCATCCAGCCTCTCACCTCAAATACTGAAAGAGCTCCCTAACTGGTCTCTTGCCTCTACCCCTGCCCTGATATAGTCTACCCAACATGGCAGCCACAACAGTCATTTTAGAAGGCACATCAGATCTTGTCATTACTCTGCTCAAAACCTTCCAATACTTTCCCATCTCAGAGTTAAAAGCCTAAAAACTGCATGAGGCCCTATACAATCTCCCCTGCCCTTTCTCTTTGATCTTACCTACTACTCTCCCTCTCCCTCAGCTCCAGCCATACTGGACTCCTTGCTGTTACCAGCACAAACTAGTGACTGTCCCACTCAGGGTCTTCGCACTTGCTGTTTCTTCTGCGTGCAATGCTGTGCCCCCAGGTGATCCATCTGGCCTGCTTCCTCATGTCCTTCAAGGCTCTGTTCAAATGTCACCCTCCCTGTGAGGCCTTCCCTAACCATCTTATTTAAAATCACAACCCCACCATCCCACCACTCTGCTGGCATGTCCCTAAATCCACTCCCCTGCTTTATTTTTCCTCATAGCACTTATTAACATCTGGAGAACTATATACAGTCGGCACTTCACGTGGACTCCGCATCCACAGATTCAACCAAGCACAGATTGAAAATGTAGTTAGGCCTACAATGGTTGCATCTGTACTGAACATGTACAGACTTCTTTTCTTGTCATTATTCCCTAAACAATACAGTATAACAACTATTTACATAACATTACAACGTAACAGGTATTGTAAGTAATCTAGAGATGACAAAGTGTACAGGAAAATGTTCATAGGTTATATACAAATGCTACAACATTTTATTATAAGAGACTTCAGCATCCGAGGATTTTGGTGTGGGGGACACTCTAGAATCCATCCCCCATGGTTACGGAGAGATGATTGTATTTTCATTATCTCTTTACACTAGAACGTATGCTCCATGATGGCAGGGATTTCTGACTGCTTTCTTCACAGCTGTCCCCAGTGCCTAAAAAACCGACTACAGATAGATGCTTTCAAAACTGTTGGATGAATGATACTGAAATATTACAAGGCAAAATACATTATTACCTGAATACATTAAATATTATGAGAAGCAGAAATCCCAATCACCCACACTCACACAGTTTTGCAAAAAGAGACATCATAGTTTGTTTCTTAAAAATGCATTAAAGTCTAATTGATGGTTTTGTTAACATCATTCTCTCTGTGCCTAAAGAGTCCTAGGTCACACCTAAAAGGTACAGTTTTAGCTTCAGTAGGCAAACGGAAAAGAAAAATACAGGCTTTTTTCCTTTCATTAGTCATCACTGACAGAAGGCCTCCAAGTGACCCTGGTGCCACAAATGTTTAGGATCTTTAGGGAAGAAAGGAGTCTAGAAAAATAACAATATTCCTTCACCAATCTCGAGAAGAATCTCTCCAAATCTCTCTGCAGACATTTTTTCTTCATATCCTTTAACAAAGCCATTCTTAACATGTACATGAAATCTTAGTTGAAGAAACAATGTGATTACATAATTACACATACGGAAAAACTTGGTATTCTATTATCTCTCCAAATTTTTTTTTAACTAAAACTAGACTTACAGTTTTTGTTGAAAATGTTTTGTGTTTCTACCTCCGAAGAATATGAAAAAAAGAAAATGTTTTGCTCTGAAGCTGAGTTAAGAAGAAGATAGCCAAGACGTGGGTTGATGGGGACTGTATTTTAAGGCTGAACAGTTTTGTTTACTATTGTTTATTATTTAATATATTCTTCCCAGTCTCCCCACCCCCACCAAAGGAAAAGCGAAAAATTTACGTTAGTGCAATCAATAAGGAATTATTTGTCCAAAGGAAGTTGTTCTGAAAGGCTATGACCTAAGTCTTTAACACAAAGTTCAGGCGGTAGATGTCACTTCTCTCACCCATTTAACAACAACAACAAATCAAGATTCAGATCCCGCGGAGGCAAGCAGAAAGGAACAGGCGTGAAAAATGAAATCAGTTGTTTCTCCCCGGCCTCCTCTCGACACTGCGCACTCCGCTGCCCTGCCCCCGCCCATCGCCCTTTAGCGGCCCCTTTTAACGGCGTCGTTTGCCCAGCACAGCCCCGCACTGCGCCATCAAATGAGTCAAGCGGAAGGACCGGTACCCCTCCGGGAAAACCAGGCACTAACACACGGTGCACCCAACTGAATTTAAACTCGGGAACAGTGTAGGCAGTGTCAACAAAGCGCGGTGCTGGGTCCCGAGCGTCCAAAGGTCCCTGCCAGCTCCCAGACGCGGCCAAATCCACAGGATTCCAAAAGGTGACTTGGCCGGCACCGCAGAGCGGCAGGCGGCGCAGAGGGCAGAGTCCGACCGGTCCCCGCCCCGCGCTCGCTCCGCACGGCCACCGGCTCCTCCGCGGACGCTACCCCGGCGGGAGCCGAGCTGAGTCCGACTCCCCGTCTCCCGAAGAGGCCCGAAAGCCGCGTCACGTGCGGGGCCGAAACTTCGCGGCCGGGGCCGGGTGGCTGGCGGGTGGGAGGCAGGCACGGCGGTCGGGGGGCAGCCCGCGCGCCCGGTGACTCACCGGCCGCCTCCGAGTGCGGCTGCAAGCGAAGGGGCCGGCGCGCCAGGCGGGGTCCGTGCCCTTGGGGCCACCCCCGCGCCTGTTATTAATAACCCAGCGCCTGGAGGCGAAAGCCCCGGTGGGCGCAGCCGCAAAGCCCGCACGCGGAATAAATAACAATGTCATTAAATCGCGCCCGAGCGCCAGTTCGGCCAGAAAGCGGCGGGAGGGCGCCACCGGGAGCTGACTTTGTCTGGAGCCTGCACCCCGCCTCCCGCGCGTCCCCACAGCGTCCCCCGCGCCCCTGAGGGGGCTCAGCGCCGCCGCAGCCCTGGCCTTACCCGCCAGCTCGTCAGGCTCCAGCCCGCTGTCCGCGTCGATCCCGCACAGCACGAAGTAGTGCGCGAAGCGGCAGGCGGCCGGGGAGGAGCCCGAGCCCGGGCCGGGCGCCGCGCAGCTCCCGCTCATCCCGGCCGCGCTGCTCCAGGGGCCGCCGCCGCCGCCGCCCGGGAAGGCTTTCTGCGGAGGCTGCCACCACCGCTCCGGCTGTGGTCTGTGCGCCCGCCCTAGGGCGACACTGGCGCGCCCATGGCCGCGCAGCCGCCTCTCGCCGCCGCAGCCTGCCTCCTCGCTCGGCGCGGGGGAAGCGGCCGCGGGCTCGCGCGCGGCGGGTCCGGAGCCCGGCCGGGTGGGGGAGGGGCGCGGGGGGAGTGTCGGCCTGAGAGGCCCTCGCAGCCGCAGCTGCGCTCGCGAGCTGAGAGCCGCCGCGTCTGGCGCCCGCGGGTCAGCTGAGCGGCGCTCGGGCTGTGGGAGCGCGGGGCGGGCGGGGGCGCCGGGGCTCGGCGCGTGCGACGGAGAGGGGTGGGGGGCGCGCTCGCGAGGGACGGAGGCGCGCGCTTCTACCGTGCGCGCGCGCCTAGCGGGTTCGGAGGCCAAGCCTGGCGTGGGGCCGCATTCGTGCCCACTGGCCCCGGCTGCGGCATCGAGGGCGACCCTGCACACACCCCTCCTCGCCCTGGCCAGCCGATAAGAGGGCTAGCCTCAGTGTGGGGGTCTGTCTTCTAAAGGGGTTGTCACCCATCCTTATTTCTTTTAATGCAGCTTTGGGGAAGGTGAACAGCCGCTCTGAGATCATTTCGCATAACGGTCTGAACCATCGTCTTTTAAACTGTGACCTGTGTGGGGGTGCCTGTCTCACTTTAAGGTCCTCCCTTCCCCCAGCCGTCACCCCATTTACAGGCCATCCTTAGTGACTTAGTGACAAGTCAACCGTGAGGGGGAAAAAACACAACTCAATACCCACAAAGCGTTGAGACTTCTAGAAGGAGTGCAGTCACCAACCCCCGCCTTCTGTCATTTATCCTGACATTTTCCAGGTCAGTGTAAATAGCCAAGGCGCTCCAGTTCCGCAGCCCTGTACCCATCCGATGTTATCGGCTCTCCCCGCAAGTAACAATCGGAGGCTAAAGCAACAGGAATTAGACCATGAACTCTGCTCCTCCCAAAGGCACGGCTTTCTTGCCCTGCTCAGCTGTCTTTTGCCTTCTCGGAAGGAACTCGACAACCAGTTCTTTTTCCTTTGAAAGAAAACTGGCTGGGCTCAGTGGCTCACACCTGTAATTTACTCAACACTTTGGGAAGCCCAGGTAGGAAGATCACATGAGACCAGGAGTTCAAGACCAGCCTGGGCAATAGAGGGAGACTCTGTCTCCATCTAAGTAAAAAAATAACATTTATTTATTTAAAAAATAATTTTTTAAGAGACAGGGTCTCACTGTATTGACCAGGCTGCTCTCAAACTCCTGGGTTCAAGTGATCCTCCCGCCTTGGCCCCCAAATGTGCTAGGATTACAGGCATAATAAGCCACTGTGCCCGGCCATGTAAGTAAAAATAAAACTTAAAAGATAGAAAACTGAATGCAATTCATCTCCACATGGCAACCCCTTCCACACCACTCCCTGCTTTCTTCTTTGGGGATTTGGGGCATCTACCACTAGACATACAAGCAAACCTTCCAGAGAGGTTGCCTGAGAGAACCTCGATTATTTGACTGAATAATGTTCTTCCTAGAAGATACATGTGCGTGCATACCATCATTTAATGTAGCTTGTATCTTCACTTTCTTTCTTCAATTTTGAAATGAAAGAGGCTGGCCATGGTGGCTCAGGCCTGTAATCCCAGCACTTTGAGAGGCCAAGGCAGGAGGAGCATTTGAGTCCAGGAATTCAAGACCAACCTGGGCAAAATAGTGAGAGACCCTGTCTCTATAAAAATAAAATGAGGCCGGGTGCAGTGGCTCAAGCCTGTAATCCCAGTCCTTTCGGAGGCCAAGGCGAGAGGCTCACTTGAGGTCAGGAGTTTGAGACAAGCCTGGCCAACATGGTGAAACTCCGTCTCTACTAAAAAAAAAAAAAAAAAAAAAAAATCAATAAAATAATAATTAGTAAAATATAAGAAGAATTGGCCGGGTGCAGTGGCTCATGTCTGTAATCCCAGCACTTTGGGAGGCCAAGGCGGGCGGATCACGAGGTCAGGAGACCGAGACCATCTTGGCCAACATGGTGAAGCCCTGTCTCTACTAAAAATACAAAAAATTAGCCAGTGTGGTGGCACGCACGTGTGGTCCCAGCTACTCGGGAGGCTGAGGCAGGAGAATCACTTGAACCTGGGAGGCGGAGATTAGAGTGAGCCGAGATCGCGCCACTGCACTCCAGCCTGGGCAACAGAGTAAGACTGTCTCAAAAAAAATAAGAAAAGAAAAGAAAATACAAGAAGAATCAAGAAATCAGGGTGAGCCACAGTCTGGGTAATTGACCTTTAGGTCATGTTGCACCCTGTACTTCTTCAAAAACACTTGTAATGGCTTTTCTGTGTCTTCTTAGCTGTGTTGTAAACTCCACAGAGCAAGAGTTGGACTCTGTGGTTCTTCACTTTTCTGGTATCTAGCAGAACTCTGGTCCTATTTAGCCCCTCAATTTATATTTGAGTGTTGAAAGAAGAGCAGTTATCTAGGTGATAACAGGTTGTTGATTCTACCAGAAAAATATACAAACTTTAATATCTGTAACATTTTTTAAAAAATAAGTCCTGGGCTGGGCATGGTGGCTCACACCTGTAATCCGAGCACTTTGGGAGGCCGAGGCAGGTGGATCACATGAGGTCGGGAGTTCGAGACCAGCCTGATCCACATGGTGAAGCCCCGTCTGTACTAAAAATACAAAAATTAGCCAGGTGTGGTGGTGCACACCTGTAATCCCAGCTCTACTTGGGAGGCTGAGGCACGAGAATCACTTGAACCCGGGAGGCAGAGGTTGCAGTGAGCCAAGATCATGCCACTGCACTCCAGGTGACAGAGTGAGACTCTGTCTCAAAAAATAATAATAAAATAAAGATTAAAAAATAAATAAAAATAAAAATAAGCTCCACATATGCAAGGCCTCAAAACTTGGTCAGGCCAGGTACGGTGGCTCACGCCTGTAATCCCAGCACTTTGGGAGGCCGAAGGGGGCAGATCACCTGAGGTCAGGAGTTCAAGACCAGACTGGCCAACGTGGTGAAACCCTGTCTCTATTAAAAATACAAAAATTAGCCTGGCATGGTGGTGAGTGCCTGTAGTCCCAACTACTTGGGGGGCTGAGACAGAAGAATGGCTTGAACCCAAGAGGCAGAGGTTGCAGTGAGCCAAGATCGCACCACTGCACTCCAGCCTGGGCAACAGAGCAAAACTCCGTCTCAAACAAAACAAAACAAAACTTAGTCAAAAACTCAGAATTGTTCCCTTCCACGGAAATCTTTAGTAAAAGACAAAAGACGTATACGATCTGAAGAGAAACCAGAGTATGGACCTAATTGTGAACACTTTAATTACTCTTATGCAATATTGCTTTTCCTCACGTAGAAAGTACTGAAATGCATAACATTTCATTAGTAAGGAAGGAAGTGCCAGGTATCTGTTTCTCCTGTCTTCGGTGGTAACTTCTTACAGAATGTTTGTTAGATTCCAAGCGAATCAAACAAACACAGTAAAAAAACTGATTTACTGTTTGCACTAGCCAAGGCACGTCATTTTTTTTTTAAATTTGACCAGTAACTGATTTATGAGTTTGTAAGCCCCACATTAATATTTTTAAGGTGAAAAAAATTGAATCACCAACAAACAATGCATGCAATTAAAATATACTAATCTCATAAAAATAGAATTCCTAAAATCTTTCCTAAAGCTTTTAGGAAAATAGTCACACATTACAAAATTAAACACTAATTTGAAAATATCCGTATACTTTTTTAATTATCACTTCAGGATGACACTGTGTAAGTATATTCTGCATTAAGCTACAATGAAACGAAGTTGAAAGGATACTCAAGAATTAGCTATGTATCATTATATGCAGATTGTCCTCTGAAATAATGACAGAGAAGTAAATTAGCTCAGTGAACAAAAATCTGAGCAATGATCTGCTGTCTCCAAAGGACTTACTGGTAAAGCCTCAAATGGACGGCATGGCATGCTTGGGATAGCTGAGTCCTGCCACGGTCTGCGGAAGTGGAGGAATGAGAGATTGATAGCACTGCTAAGCTGGTGGCACATGGTGACTCTGACTACCAGTAAAATGTGGTCCAATGAATGTTTTGGGCTCTAAATAGTTACATTAGCAATCAATCCCTTCTTTCTTGGTTGTTTATATGTGGCTGGAGTGTGGTGGTGAAGAACGGTGTTGACAAGGATTGTCATAGCATCAAAAGAGAAAAATAACCTCTCCTCTCCTTAACACGACTTAAATATTTTGGAGAGTCCATTCTCCTCATCGTATTTGCTACTTCTCGATCCCTTACAGCCCTCTTTTTTGGGGGGGTGGCGGGTCACTCACCCAGGCTGGAGGGCAGTGGCACAATCTCGACTCACTGCAGCCTCCACCTCCCTGGCTCAAGCAATCCTCCCACCTCAGCCTCCCAAAGAGCTGGGACCACCCACAGGCATGTGCAATCACACCCAGCTAGTTTTTTGTATTTTTGGTAGAGACAGGGTTTCACCCTGTTGCCCAGGCGGGTCTCAAACCCCTGGGCTCAAACGATCCACCTGCTTCAGTCTCCCAAAGTGCTGGGATTACAGGTTTGAGCCACCTTAGAACCCTCTTTTACCCCTTGTTGTTGTTAACCACTTTTTACTAGCTAACAATTATAATAAATTTTCGTGTTCAAATTACTGGTTTCTATCTCCTGACTAATCCATAAGCCAAATGTCCATCACCAGATGAATGGAGAATTAAATTGGTATCCTCATACAAGGGAACACTACTTAGTAGTAAAGAGGAATGAACCACTGATACATGCCACAAGGTGCATGGCTGTCAAAAATATGCTAAGCAAAAGATGCCAGGCACAGAGGAGTCCATAGTGTATCCCTCTACTCATATGAAATTCTAGACTGGGCAGGAAGCAGATCAGTGGTTGCCTGGGGCCAGAGGTGATGTGGTGGGAAATTGACTGCAAAAGGGCAGGAGGGAGCTTTCCGGAGCAATGGGAAAATGTTGTACCTTGATTGTGGTAGTGCTTTCACAGACAGATATATTTGTCAAAACCCAATGTACTCTTACAGCAAATACATTTTTTTTTTTTTGAGATGGAGTCTCACTCTGTCACCCAGGTAGGAGTGTAGTGGCTCAATCTCGGCTCACTGCAACCTTTGCCTCCCGGGTTCAAGCAATTCTCCTGCCTCAGCCTCCTGAGTAGCTGGGATTACAGGTGCACGCCACCACACCCGGCTAATTTTTGTATTTTTAGTAGAGACAGGGTTTCACCGTATTGGTCAGGCTGGTCTCGAACTCCTGACCTTAGGTGATCTGTCCGCCTCAGCCTCCCAAAGTGCTGGGATTACAGGCGTGAGCCACCGCGCCTGGCTAGCAAATACATTTTAATATATATAAATTGTACCTCTTAGCTGGGCATGGTGACGTATGCCTTTGGTCCCAGCTACTTAGGAGGCTGAGATGGGAAGATCGCTTGAACCCAGGAGATGGAGGTTTTGATGAGCTGAGATTGTGCCACTGCACTCCAGCCTGGGCAACAGAGCAAGACCCTGTCAAACAAACAAACAAATAAATAAATAAATAAATAAATAAAATTGTACTCACAAATCTATTTACAAACAAAAAAGAGCCAAAAGATTTATGTCCAGTTTTTATTGCATCCTACTCATTTTCAAAAACTTTTGTAAAGTTTCAAAACTTTACATTTCCTAAAATTCTACTCATTTTGGTTGATTGACAAGGACTGATCCAAATTCTTACAAAAATTTTATTCAATTTTGGTTTTTTTTCAACCAGTATGTTTTGGGGTGGTTTGGTGTGCTGATAAAGGGGACAACCTCCAGACTCTCACTACCTGGGTTCAAATCTCACTTCTTTTAGTATCTATAAGACAATCTGCTTAATGTTACTCTAGCTTTAATTTCCTTATTTGTCCAGTGCAGATCAAAATTAAGTTATTGTGAAGTTTGAAGGAGATAATACATGTAGAGTGCTTAGCACAGTCCCTAGAACATAGAAAGTATTCAATATATGTAACTCATTGTTTCTGTGTGCCAGACACTGAGCTAGACATTTTAACATACTCTATCTCATTATTTTGATTTTTTTTTTTTTGAGACAGTTTCTCTCTCTCTGTTGCTCAGGCTGGAGTGCAGTGGTGTGATTTTCTTTTTTTGGAAGGCAGTTTTATAATTTTATTTGATATATTCGACAATCAGTGGTTAGTTCTCATCCACATTGACTGTCTGTAGATTTTTGAAAGCATAGGGATGCCATATGGGACATTCCTTAATCCTTTGGTCAAGACAGCTTTGTTAAGCCTGGTATCAGTGTGCACATCCGTAGTTCCCATGTCCTTGATGGCAAATTTCCAGATCTCGCTGAGTGCCCGAGGGGCACTCTTCTTGAAACCAACTCCATGAATGCGCTTGTGAATGTTGATGGTATATTCTCTGGTCACCAGCTCACTGATGGCAGAACTGTAATTCTTCTCACCACCCTTCTTTGCGGGAGGCATTCTGAGGGGCCCAAGTTGGAAAGGAAGAGTGCGAGGGATTGTGGGCGAAGTGCAGTGGTGTGATTATAGCTCACTGCAGCCTCCATCTTCCAGGCTCAAGTGATCCTCTCATCTCAGCCTCCCTAGGAGCTGCAGCTACAGGCACATGCCACCATGCCCAGCTAATTCTTTATTTATTTTATTTTATTTTTTGAGTCAAGGTCTCACTGTGCCACCCAGGCTGGAGTGCAGTGGCATGATCAAGGCTCACTGCAGCCTCCACCTCCTGGGTGCAAATGATCCTCCCACCTCTCAGCTCCCTGAGTACCGGGACCACAGGCACAAGCTATCATGCCCGGCTAATGTTTGTATTTTTTGTAGAGCTGGGGTTTCACCATGTTAGCCAGGCTGGTCTCCTAGCCTCAAGTGCTATGCCCGCCTCAGCCTCCCAAAGTGCTGGGATTACAGGTGTGAGCCACCCCGCCTGGCCAACTTTTTATTTTTATTTTTAATAGAGATAGGGTATCCTTACATTGCCCAGGTGTGCAATGTAAGTCTCGAACTCCTAAACTCAAATGATCCTCCTGCCTTGGCCTCCCAAAGTGGGCATGAGCCACCACGCCCAGTCATGAAAATCAGTCCAAGAGGTCTAGCACTTCTTGCGTAGCACTTCAGAATACAATAGGTCATGATCACTTTAATCAGATAGGGCCAATGGAGATATGCAGACCCTAGTTCCAGGCCCACTCAATGAGACATGATAAATACTGAGAGGGGTATAGGGGGGTTGGGGTCACTGAGCCTGTGCTGTGTTGACAAGAGAAGTTCAATGTGGCAGTCAAACTTAGCATCCAAAGTGGGCCACCATCTCTAGATGGCGTCTACACGGTCAGCAAAAGGGGCCGTAAGATTTAGTTGTTGCAAATGGTGACAGAAAGGAGCATCCAAGGCATCTGGCATTCGGAAATCCAGGCAAGCAAGGTGGCGGGGGTGGGGGGGTGGTGGCTCACACCTGTAATCCCAGCACTTTGGGAGGCCGAGGCAGGTGGAACAGCTGAGGTCAGGAGTTCAAGACCAGCCTGGCCAACATGGCGAGACCCTGTCTCTACTAAAAATACAAAATTAGCCAGGCGTGGTGGCGCACACCTATAATCCCAGCTACTTGGAAGGCTGAGGTAGGAGAATCGCCGGAACCCAGGCAGGTGAAGGTTGCAGTGAGCCGAGATTGCACCACTGTGCTCCAGCCTGGGAGACAGAGTGAGACTTTGTCTCCAAAAAGTAAAATAATATAATATAAAATTCCAGGCAAGCAGCTTCAGGAAGTCTATCATGGAATCACAGGTTCTCTCCAGTTGTAATAAGAAGTCAAGAGGATATAGTGGGTTGAATTGTGTCCCCAAAAAGGTGTGTCCAAGTCCTAATCCCTATACCTGTGAATGTGATCTTATTCAGAAATAAAATATTTGCAGATGTAATTGAGGATCTCATCTTGAGATCCTTAATGCAGTGCAATTATAGCTGAGTGGGCCCTAAACCCAATGACTGGTGTCCTTATAAGAAAAGGGAGATTTGAGATATTGAGACACACATAGGCGAAGATCATGTGAAGACAGAGACAGAGCTTGGAATGTTGTTGCCACAAGCTAAGGAGTGCCAAGCATTGCCAGCAGACACCAGAAGCTAGGAGAGAGGGATGGAATGGATTCTCCCTGGGGGTCCCCCAGAAGGAATCAGCCCTCCTGACACCTTGGTTTTAGCCTTGTGGCATCTAAAACTGTGAGAAAATTAACTTCTGTTATTTAAACCACCAAGTTTGTGGTAATTGGTTGCAGCAGCCCTAGGAAATTAATGTAGAGGGGAACCTGCAAGGGCCCAGCCTGAAAAAGGAACTAGAGACCTAGGTAGGTTACCAGAGCGGAACCCAAGATACTAGGACCGAGGGCTCCTGGAGAGAGACACTTGCATATAAGGCAGAAGCTAAATTCTAAGGACCTACGTACAATGACAAAGTCTAAATACAAAAGACGGTGA
Organism: Homo sapiens; assembly: GCF_000001405.40. Taxonomy (NCBI): domain Eukaryota; kingdom Metazoa; phylum Chordata; class Mammalia; order Primates; family Hominidae; genus Homo; species Homo sapiens. Next base: position 31,599,420 of record NC_000012.12, read on the forward strand.
CAGGACTTGGTAGAAGGTCCAAGCAGAACCCATTTGTAGCAGAAAATGGGGCAGGGATAGGCCTGAAAATCCACATCAAGTGTCCTCATCTATGGGAAGGAAAAGCTCTAAATAGACCAGAAACTGAAACAGGGTAGTGGTGTTGTTGTTGTTGTTGTTGTTGTTTTGTTGTTGTTGTTGTTTTAAAAGCAGAGACAAAGTCTCGCTATATTGCCCAGGCTGGTCTCAAACTCATGGGCTCAAGCAATCCTACCACCTCAGCCTCCCAAAGTGCTGGGATTACAGGCATGAGCCACTATACCCAGCAGGATTTGGGTTTTAAAAGGTCAATCAACAACTTCATCTTTCTTCCCTAAGATTGGAACCAATTGAGAAATAAGATATAGGATGCCAACAGATGGAGAACAGTTTCTATTATTAAATGTAGCCTCTGTTAATGCTAAAGCCGGCTGGGCACGGTGGCTCACACCTGTAATCCCAGCACTTTGGGAGGCTGAGGTGGGCAGATCACCTGAAGTCAGGAGTTCAAGACCAGACTGGCCAACATGGCAAAACCCCATCTCTACTGAAAATACAAAAATTAGCCAGGTGCAATGGCGCACACCTGTAATCCCAGCTACTCGGGAGGCTGAGGCAGAAGAATCACTTGAACCTGGGAAGCGGAGGTTGTGGTGAGTGCAGATAGCACCACTGCACTCCAGCCTGGGTGACAGAGTGGACTCTGTCTTTAAAAAAAAAAAAAAAAAAAAAAAAAAAGGTAAAGCTGATCTGAAGAAAGAGCAGGTCTGTGGCAGAGATTTGCTACATTACTTTCCATCCCTTCAATCTTTTCTTCCCGCTGACCAAACCCTGGCTCAGGCCACCGAAGGGGATATTTGAATCTGTAGAGCATCTACATTTAGTTCAGTATTGCTGTCCCATGTAAGCCCCAGGTGGGAAGGAAATAGAAGACTCTCCAATGCTTGCTAACTTTAATTAGATTAGCGCCATCCAATGGAGAAATGAAGACCATGAACTACTTTGCAAACCTAGCAGGCAGGGGAGGGGTGAAGTGGGGGCCAACAGTGTTACTGTAGTAGAAGTTCCTCTACATGGAAACGTGAGGCAAGAGGAAAGGAAGTTCCTCCCTAATAGGTGGCTGTTTAATCAGAATCCATCCCCTCCTCCTTCGTTGTGTAGTGTTCATGTCCTTCACATGGTATTGGGTTTACACCTAGCTCTAGGATGTCTTTGTGAACCTATATTCCTTTTAAGAGTTACTGACTCAGGGATGAACAGTTATCCTAAGCTGGCCTAATTAGGATGAGGTTCAGAACTTTTGTTTGATAGTTGGAGAAAGGAACATCCTCTTCTTACCTTGGGTGTAAATATGATATATACCGTCCCAAAATTACCAGTAGCCTTACAAGGAAAGCCAGGCCAAGGATGAAGCCAATATACAGAATGGAGCAGAGCCAAGAATATCACTGAAAAGTAGACTATATTATAAACTCTGGCTCAAATCATACAGGAAGCCTACTCAATATCTGGAATTTGTCAGTTAATGTGAGCCAATGAATTCCTTTTATTGTTTCAGCCAGTTTGAGTTATTTTCTTTAACTTTCAACTGAATGTTTACTCTCAAAATAAGGGGAATAGTCTCTAAGATCCCGTCCAGTTAAAAAAAAAAAAAAACCTTATGAATCTAAAAGGAGGCCAGGCGCGGTGGCTCACACCTGCAATCCTAGCACTTTGGAAGGCCGAGGTGGGCAGATCACGAGGTCAGGAGATCGAGACCATCCTGGCTAACACGGTGAAACCCCGTCTCTACTAAAAATGCAAAAAATTAGCCGGGCGTAGTGGCGCATGCCTGTAGTCCCAGCTACTCGGGAGGCTGAGGCAGGAGAATGGCATGAACCTGGGAGGCGGAGCTTCCAGTGAGCTGAGATCGCGCCACTGCACTCCAGCCTGGGCGACTAAGCGAGACTCCGCCTCCAAAAAAAAAAAAAAAAAAACTGAAAGGAAAGAAATATAATTCCATATTCTAGAAAAAGCCCCAGAACTAGCTCTTCTTTCTTCTTTTCTTTTTTTTGGGGGGACGGAGGCTCGGTCTGTTGTCCAGGCTGGAGTGCAGTGGCGCGATCTCGGCTCACTGCAAGTTCTGCCTCCCGAGTTCACGCCATTCTCCTGCCTCAGCCTTCTGAGTTGCTGGGACTACAGGCGCCCGCCACCAGGCGCGGCTAATTTTTTTTTTTTTTTTTTTTTTTTTTTGTATTTTCAGTACAGACGGGGTTTCACCGTATTAGCCAGGATGGTCTCAATCTTCTAACCTCGTGATCTGCCCACCTCGGCCTCGCAAAGCGCTGGGATTACAGGCGTGAGCCTCCGCGACCGGCCAGAACTAGCTCTTCTTAAGGATGTGACAGTGATCTGCACTAGAGCTTCAGGCAGCTAAGGTAGGCTTTCCTGGAAATCAGCCCATAAGATGAGAAAGAAATCTTTTTTTTTTTTTTTTGAGAAGGAGAGTCTCGCTGTGTCACCCAGGCTGGAGTGCAGTGGCGCAATCTCGGCTCACTGCAACCTCTGCCTCCCGGGTTCAAGCGATTCTCCTGCCTCAGCCTCCTGAGCAGCTGGGATTACAGGCGTGTGCCACCACGCCCAGCTAATTTTCGTGTTTTTAATAGAGACGAGGTTTCACCATCTTGGCCAGGCTGGTCTTGAACTCCTGACTTTGTGATCTAACCACCTCGGCCTCCCAAAGTGCTGGGATTACAGGCATGAGCCACTGCGCCTGGCCCAAGATGAGGAAGAAATTTTAGCAGCCTTCTGCAGAAGGTATTTTCCTGGGTTGGCTGGGTTCCTTCCATCAAACCAAAATCAAGAGTATATGAGTAGAAATTAAAATGCAGATTTTCTATCAAAAGTTAGAATACTCATACCCTCTGATTCATCAATTCTGCATCTCAGACTTTCTCCTACAGAAATATGCAAGTAAAGAATATGTGTACAACGTCCCCTGAAACATTGCTCATTATATTTAAAAGTGGAAACAATCTTATTCCTACCAATAGGAAATAGGAAGCAGTTAGCTGGGTGTGGTGGCTCACATCTGTAATCCCAGCACTCTGGGAGGCAGGAGGTTCCTTTGAGCCTAGGAGTTCAAGACCAGTCTGGGCAACATGATGGAACTCTGCCTATATTAAAAATAAAAAGTAAAAAATATAAAAAAAAATTTTAAATAAAAATAAAAAAGACAAAAAATGAAGTGGTTAAATAGATTCTGGTATATCTGATACAATGCATGCTAAGAATGAGGTTACACTGATGGAAAAAATATCTAATATATGGCTGAATATAAAAGGCAAGAAAAGACAGCTGGGTGTGGTGGCTCACACCCATAATCCCAACACTTTGGGAGGCTGAGGTGGGCGGATCACTTGAGGTCAGGAGTTCAAGACCAGCCTGGCCAATATGGTGAAACCTCGTCTCTATTAAAATTACAAAAAATTAGCCAGGCTTGGTGGTGCGCACTTATAGTCCCAGCTACTTGGGAGGCTGAGTCAGAAGAATCACTTGAATCTGGGAGATGGAGGGTTGCAGTGAGCTGAGATCGTGACACTGCACTCCAGCCTGGGCAACAGAATGAGACTCCATCTCAAAAAAAAAAAAAGCAAGAAAAGAAAAATATATAGTTCCTATTTTTGTGTTAAAAATAAACTGTATACATGTTTGTGCATGAAAACATCTGAACAGCTTCCATTTGTTATTTTTCATATTTCTATATTGTTAAAAATTGACAACAGGCATCTATTGCTTTTTGTAATTCAAAGCCTTTCTTTCTTAAGTCCGTGTGTGTTTCTGTGAGAAAAGATGATCAGCATTGTGAATCATGGCTATTCTTATATAAATCACTCAAATTTGTAACTATTATAATGACTTATTAGTGAGACTAATTTGAATAACTATACATATATGCATATGTATACATGGATGCATGAACATTCATTAATTACTCAACAATTCTTATAATGCCTACTATATGCCAGGTAATGTTCCAGGGATATATCAATGAATAAAATCCTAGAGATATATAATGCTGTACATATATACATTCAAAATAGTCTGAAGAGTATAAATAACTATGAAATTGAAAGGATTAGCCAGGTGTGATGGCATGTGCCTATAACCCCAGCTACCAGGGAGACTGAGGTGGGAGGATTGCTTCAGCCCAGAGTTGCAGGTGGAAGTGAGCTATGATCGCACCACTGCACTCCAGCCTGAGTGACAGAACAGAGACTTTGTTTCTTAAAAAAAAAAGTAAAAAAAGAGAAATGAAACAAAGTTTGCATAATTTTCAATCATCAAAAAAACCAATTTGGCTACTCAGTGATTAACTTGATTTTATGTTACAAATTTGTAATCTTTCTCAATTCCATCTAAAAACCTTAAGGTTGAAAACACTCCAGTAGCCAACGGAATAACACTATCAGTCTTGATCTGAGTATATTTTGGATCCAGCATCTTTAAACTCTGGCCACATGCCAGACTTTGAACCTGAGTTCTCTGTTACAGACTTCACATGTGATTTCTCTCTCTCGCTCTCTTTTTCTTTTTTCTTTTCTTTTTTTTTTTTTTTTTGAGATGGAGTCTCACTCTGTCACCCAGGCTGGAGTGTAGTGGTGCGATCTCAGCTCACTGCAACCTCCACTTCCCGAGCTCAAGTGATTCTCCTGCCTCAACCTCCCATGTAGCTAGGATTATGGGTGCCTGCCACCATGCCCCCTGCTACATACAATTTCTCTTGTTCTTTTTTTTTTTTTTTTTTTTTGAGATTAGGTCTCACTCCGTCATCTAGGCTAGAGTACAGGCACAATCATGGCTCACTGAAGCCTCCACCTCCCAGGTTCAAGTGATCCTCCCACTCAGCCTCCCAAGTAGCTGGATCACAGGCATATACCAGCACACTTGGCTAATGTTTCTTTGTTTGTTTGTTTGTTTGTTTGTTTGTAGAGACTGAGTTTTGCTGTGTTGCTCATGCTGGTCTTGAACTCCCAGACTTAAATGATCTGCCCACCTCAGCCTTGTGAAGTGTTGGGATTATAGGCATGAGCTATGGAGCCTGGCCTTCACATGCAATTTCTAACACCTCTTTTAAATCACAGAAATCTCACTCATCTATTCTTTCCCACTTTGAATTCAGAGGCACTTGTAACTGGTCCCACACCTTTTAGTATTGCAATATTATTCTAAGTGTATTAATTGTTTTAGTCTGTTTGGCCTGCTGTGACAAAATGCCATAAACTGAGTGGCTTATAAACAACAGAAATTTATTTACTGCAGTCTGGAGGCTGGGTAGTCCAAGGTACCAGCAAATTCATTGTCTGGTGAAGGCTAGTTTCCTGGATGATAGATGGCACCTTCTCACTGTGTCCTCAGGTGGTAAAAAGAAAAGAACTAGTTCTCCTGGGGTCTCTTTTATAAAGGCACTAATCCCACTGATAAGGTACCCGCCTTCATGACCTAATCATCTCCCAAAGGCTCTACCTCCCAACGCCTCACATTGGGGGTTAGGATTTCAACATGTGAATTTGGGGAAGACACAAACATTCAGACAATAACATTAATGTTTTCTTCCCTACTTGTGCAGCTAAGAGCTTCCGGAGGTAGGGAGCTGTTTTCTCTCACCTCACATCCACACATCACACAGTTTATACTTTCAGAAGATTGATTGATTAAATGCATCCCTCAGCCTCCCCAACAAAGGCCGTATATCTACTCTAAAAATAGAACACAAATCCTCTGTCCTTTTTAGTCATAATCAATGTGACTGTTCATAAGGCAATTATTTTAAGTTTAGCAATTTAGCCATAATCCCATTATTGAATTAGGCTTGAAATCTTAGAAACTTCAGGATGTTTATTTGCCATGGCTCCCTTCTAAGCAAACATCATCCTCCAAGTCTATATCCCCTCCACAGGCATCATTTCTAAGGAGCAATGTTAGCTTACATAATAGTTTTTGGAAAATGTTTTGGAAAGTATCTATTCTGTTTGAGGAAAAGTATGGACTCATTCTCCTCTCTCTCTCTTAAGAATTCTTCTCCTGTGACTATTTCCTTTAACTTCAGACTCAAACAGTAATTAAAGATGGCAAGAAAAATGCCAGGAGAAAAGCCCATTTAATTGTACTGTTGGAATAATTGTTCCTGACTTCTAGCTTGCCCATTGTAATTTTGTGGGTTGGGGGGAGGAAAAAAATTAGTATCAGACTGCAGCAATCTCCAAACGAGCCAAAATTATAATCTGGTGAGTGCCTATTTAAAGTAACAGAATCCAAGGCAACATAAGAGGCTTAATTTTGGCTATGCATGTTATTACCTAAGAGTAGGAGAGAGCATTATCTAGTAGCAAAAAGCCAGGAGCATGAATCAACCACTTTAGATTTATACTCCCCTTTAGAGTTTACGATGGATAAAATAACTTTATGTCCCTGTGTTTAGCTTCTCTGTCCTTAATATATAAGCAAACTCTCTATCATTCAGCGAAATTGTTGTCTATATAAGCTGAAAAAAACATCAAGCTCCTCAAACAGGTTGACTAGTAAATAAATGGCCCAACACAAAAAGGGTAATCTCAGTTTTAATTTTTTTTTGAATTGACAGATAAAATTATATGTATTTACTGTGTATAACAATATTTTGAAGTATATATACATGGTATAATGACTAAATCTAGCTAACATATGCATTACCTCTAATCTCAATTTAAATTGGGGAAATCATACTTTTCTTTTACTTTTTTTTTTTTTTTTTTGAAATAGAGTCTCCCTCTGTTGCTCAGGCTGGAGTGCAGTGGGACTACAGGCGTGTGCCACCATGTCCAGCTAATTTTTTTTGTATTTTTAGTAGAGACAAGGTTTCACCATGTTGGCCAGACTGGTCTCAAACTCTAGACCTCAGGTGATCTGCCAAATTCAGCCTCCCAAAGTGTTGGGATTACAGGCGTAAGCCACCTCACCTGGCCATATTTTTCTTTTTCTATTTTCAATTTTAAAAAATGTATTATTAAGTAGAGACAGGACCTCACCATATTGTCCAGGCTGGTCTCCAGCTCCTGGGCTCAGACAATCTTCCGGCCTCTGCCTACCAAAGTCCTGGAATAACAGACGGCAGACATGAGCCATTGAACTTGCCCCATATTTTTCAAAAGTGAAATTTTGCAGGCACCTGTAGTCCCAGCTACTCAGAAGGCTGAGGTGGGAAGATCCCTTGAGCCCAGGAGTTCAAATCCAGCCTGACAACACAGCAAAATCCCATCTCAAAAAGAAAAAAAAAGGCCGGGTGCGGTACGGTGGCTCATGCCTGTAATCCCAGCACTTTGGGAGGCCAAGGCAGGCAGATCACCTGAGGTCAGGAGTTCAAGACCAGCCTGGCCAAGGTGGTGAAACCCTGTCTCTACTAAAAATACAAAAATTAGCCAGGCGTGGTGGTGGGCACCTATAATCCCAGCTACTTGGGAGGCTGAGGTGGGAGAATTGCTTGAACCCAGGAGGCAGAGGTTGCAGTGAGCTGAGATCACGCCATTGCACTCCAGCCTGGGAAACAGGAGGGAAACTTCGTCTCAAAAAAAAAAAAAGAAAGAAAAAAAAAGTGAAATTTTTTCTCTAAGGTAGATTATACAGCCGATCCTGAACAACACTGGTTTGAACTGTGTGGGTCTGCTTATATGCCAATTTTCTTCTGCCTTTGCTGCCCCTGAGACAGCCTGTTCTTCCTCCTCCTCCTCAGCCTACTCAATATGAAGATGATGAGGATGGAGACTTTTATGAAGAGCTACTTCCACTTAATAAACAGTAAACATACTTTCACTTCCTTATGATTTTCTTCACATTTTCTTTTACTTAGCTTACTTTAAGAATACAATACATAACACATATAACATACAAAATATGTGTTAATCAACTGTTTATATTATCCATAAGGCTTGTGCTGTACAGTAGGTTATTAGTAGTTAAATTCTGGGGGAGTCAAAAGTTAAATGCAAATTTTCTACTTGAGGAAGTGTCGGTGCCCCTAACGCCTATGTTCAAGAGTCAACTGTAATTCAAGTTATACATTTTAATTTTTTTCTTACACTAGTAAATACCAGACTGAGAGGATTGAAGGTTTGACTCATTTCACACATCTTTGCTTGATCTCCTTAGCTCTTATAAACATTATTAAATGTACGGTCCTTTGTGATTAAATTATTATCATACGTGTGATATGAAATAGACTTCTGAGTTGGGCATGGTGGCTCATGCATGTAATCCCAGCAACTCAGGAGGCTGAGGCCAGAGCATCACTTGGGGCCAGGAGTTTCAGAGCAGCCTGGCAACATAGCAAACTCCATTTCTAAAAATTATTTAATTAATTCAATAAGAAAAATTTTTAAATGACTACTAAAAAATCACAAAAATAATAGCATATTTTAGCCTTTAAAAATTAGTAGAGATTGGGTGCAGGGGCTCATGCCTATAATCCCAGCACTTTGGGAGGCTGATGTGAGAGGATCACTTGAGGCTAGGAGTTTGAGACCAGCCTGGGCAACATAGTGAGAACCTGTCTCAACAAAAAATACAAAATCCAGCCAGATTTGGTGCCATGTGCCTGTAGTCCCAGCTGCTTGGGAGGCTGAGATGGGATGTGTAGAAAGTAAAAAGTTTTCTCTTCAAAATTTCCCTTCTTGTTAAAGAATAAATCATAAGTGTTAGAAGTAATAGTTTCTTTTAAAGAGTAACTTCCCTCAAGCCTCCTTGCTTTATGCTAATAACTCTTGGTTAAGCCCTATCCTATGTAGCTGCTAGATATAAGGGAATGAGTACATTCTATGTCTTTGTACTTTAACCAAGATATTTGTTTCCTTTCATAAGCAACTTCCTCTTTTTCTTTGTTCTCCTTTGCTTTTACCTATTTAGGAAAGTTTTAAGTTATTAGCCAGTCAGGTTTAATTTAGATTGTGAGGTCCAGCTCCAGCCAATGGAGACAGGACACATTAGCAGGGACAAGCTGTGTAAGGAATAAAATTGCTTCCCTCCTTTGTTCAGGTGTGGTCTCACCATTGTTCCATCTGTGAGGAGCACCCTTTCTGCAGAAGGTAAAATTGCCTTGCTGAGAAAACTTTTTGTCTAAATGCTGATTTTTCCTTGTGGTACCAAGGAACAAGCATTCTATTTCTAAATAAACATTTTTGGCGGGGGGAGGGATAGCATTAGGAGATATACCTAATGCTAAATGACGAGTTAATGGGTGCAGCACACCAGCATGGCACATGTATACATATGTAACTAACCTGCACATTGTGCACATGTACCCTAAAACTTAAAGTATAATAATAATAAAATAAAAAAATAAAAAAAAACACAACATTTTACTTCTAACAGGAGGGTTGCTTGAGCCTGGAAGATCAAAGCTGCAGTGAGCCATGATTGTTCCACTGCACTCCAGCCTGGGTGTCACAGTTAGACTTTGTCTCAAAAAAAAAAAAATGAAAATACATAAAAATGAAAAATAGAAATGAATAGAGAAAATAATAGGTAACCCTCAGACATCAGTTTTGAAATTTTAAGTTATTAAGAACATAAAATTAAAAAAAGAACATAAAATTCAAGCTTACAATACCCACTTAAGCCTTTTTATAAATTCCCTTTCTACAAATCTATTATAGTTATCTATAAACTGAATCCATTATAAATACCAGTGAAAAGAGTGAGTGAAGAATATCTTACTTAGGGATATATACTATATAAGGTATAGCTAGAAATTTTAAAATATGGTGGAGCCACCTTGTCAACATTGTTGGGTAAAAAGTGAGTTCTGGAGATGCCTCTAAGATAACATACGGCCAGATTATAATAAAGAAATAAGACAATAACAGAATTTAAAATGTTTAACTTTTAAAAAGTTACCAAAAAATGGAAAGCTTATAAGGTTAATATCTGAATTTAGGCACTAAAATATTGTCCATCTTGTAATGTATTTTAAAATGTTATCACTGGCTACAGGCAGGCATTAGCTACACAAACGTAGCAATTAATGTGACAGCAGTTGAGTGTTGAGGCCAAATTAGAGGGAATTATTTATTCTTGTTGCTAAGATTGGAAGTGTATAGGAGGCACCCAGAAGCTACTATAAAAGAGGTTATGGTTAAATACACACTACTTTTTATATTCGTATTAAAACATACAATTTCACAAAATCCTTTCAAGAAAAGCAACCCTAAAGCAAGTGAAAGGTAGAAAACAATTGCAATCTCATGTCTGTTTTGAACAAATCTCGAATAACTATTGAGCTTTTTTCTTAAACTTTTTGTTATAGAAATTTCCAAACACACACAAAATAGAAAGAATAGAATAATGAGCACCCATGTATCTATTACCCAGATTCAACATTTATCAACATATGGCAACATTTATCAACATATGGCCAATCTATTTCATTTACAACCCCTCTGCTCTCACCCCCTGCACACTAGATTATTTAAAATCAACTGTTGGTCAGGGCATGGTGGCTCATGCCTGTAATCCCAGGACTTTGGGAGGTCAAGGCAGGGGGATCACTTAAGGTCAAGAGTTGGAGACCAGCCTGGCCAACATGGTGAAACCCTGTCTCTACTAAAATACAAAAATTCACCAGGCATGGTGGTGTGCACCTCTAATCCCAGCTTCTCAGGAGGCTGAGGCAGGAGAATTGCTTGAACCCAAGAGGCAGAGGTTGCAGTGGGCCAAGATTGTGCCACTACATTCCAACCTGGACTATAGAACGAGACTCCGTTTCAAAAAAATAAAAAATAATAAAAAAATTAAAAATAGGCTGGGCACAGTGGCTCATGCCTGTAATCCCAGCACTTTGGGAGGCCAAGGCGGGCAGATCATGAGGTCAGGAGATCGAGACCATCCTGGCTAACACAGTGAAACCCCATCTCTACTAAAAATGCAAAAAATTAGCCGGGCGTGGTGGCTGGAACCTGTGGTCCCAGCTACTCAGGAGGCTGAGGCAGGAGAATGGTGTGAACCCAGGAGGCGGAGCTTGCAGTGAGCTGAGATTGTGCCACTGCCCTCCAGCCTGGGCGACAGAGCAAGACTCCGTCTCAAAAATAAATAAATAAATAATAAATTAAAATTTTAAAAATTAAATTAGAAAAATAAATTAAAAAATCAACTGTCAGGCCAGGCATGATGGCTCATGCTTGTACTCCCAGCGCTTTGGGAGCCCAAGGTGGGCAGATCACTTGAGGTCAGGAGTTCAAGACCAGCCTGGCCAATATGGTGAAACCCTGTTTCTACTAAAAATACAAAAATTAGCTGGGCATGGTGGCAGGCAACTGTAATCCCAGCTACTCGGAAGGCTGAGGCAGGAGAATCACTTGAACCTGGGAGGTAGAGGTTGCAGTGAGCCAGGATGGTGCCACTGAACTCCAGCCTGGGGAACAGAGCAAGACTCTGTCTCAAAAAAAAAAAAAAAAAAATCAACTGTCAGATATCACATCAGGTCATTCCATGAGAAAATACTGTAATACGTATATCTAGGAGATAAAACTCTTTTTGTCTTTTCAAGGCACAATCAGAATTCCAGTGTCACATCTACAAAAAATGAACCCCTTAATATCACATAACATACAGTCGGTAATATTAAAAGTCTTACTGGTCAGGCACGGTGGGTCATGCATGTAATCCCAGCACTTTAGGAGGCCTAGGTGGGAGGTTCACTTGAGCCCAGGAGTTCAAGACCAGCTTGGGTGACCCTATCCCTACAAAAAAAATTTTTTTAATAAAAATAAAAAAATAGGTCTTACTTATAGTCACATAGCTTAGATAATATTTAGTAGTAATATAAAATGTTTTCAAATTGAACTATATAGGAATCTAAATTTTTGAGATTATTTCCATGTAATACTTGAATTGTTTGTTGTATTAAAATTACCCTAAACTGAACATATAAACCACATTCCCATGTTTAACAGATAGGTTGGTTAATTTTATCCAAGGTCTAGGAATATAGCAAGTTGATTACAGGACAAGAAACAGCAAAACTGAAATCCAACTTCTCTGCTTTTGAAAATAACCTCTCTGAATTCAGAAAAGGAGTAATATCTTGATAGCCTACTTGCTAAAGCCATGGCTACTTTTCAACTGGTTTGTACTGCTATTGTTGCACTCAATGTTAAAATATTAAAATTCTTCTGAAAAGGTTGGTAACCAGCTACTACCCTGTACTCCCAACCCGAACCTACCAGATTCTCTTCCCCCATTCCTCAAACCCTGACTTCTCTGCCCCTGGGAAGAGCAGGCCTGGGCTCCCCGCTCCACATCCCTCTTCACATGGCATCTGCATGTGGTCTGTACAGCAAGGTAGTTGGACTTCTTAAGTGCAGGTCAGGGTTCCCAAGAGCAAAATGTGGAAGATACCAGTCTTTCCAATACTTAAGCCTGGACTTAGCACAGCATCACTTCTGCCATATTTTATTGGTTAATAGAGTCACAAGGCCAGCCTAGATTCAAGGAACTATACTGGGGCCTGCATACCAGGAGTGTTTCATGGGGTCAAGGGAGGTGGAGGTAATCAATGAAACTGGCAAGCACACCATGCCAAGGTTCAGTATATTTTACCTATTGTATGACTATCTGGCAGCTGAGAAAAAAGAAATACTCTAAATGGCTCAGCTGTATTGCAAACTATAGCATCTTTCCTAATGCAGAGTTGTACAAACTAGAGTAGAGAGGGCTTATGAACTATTTTGAGTATAGGAGTCTTTGCAGCAACTTGATCAAAAAGCATACACCTAGATATGGAAATATTTTGTTATACAAACTCTTTGTAGATATATGTGTTATAATGAAATTTCCAAGCTGGGTAAGGTGGCTCACACCTGTAATCCCAGCACTTTGGGAGGCCAAGGTGGCCAGATTGCTTGAGTCCAGAAGTTTAAGACCAACCTGGGCAACATGGCAAGACCCCATCTCTGGCCGGGCGTGGTGGCTCACGCCTGTGATCCCAGCACTTTGGGAGGCTGAGGTGGGCAGATCACGAGATGAGGAGATCGAGGCCATCCTGGCTAACACGGTGAAACCCCATCTCTACTAAAAATACAAAAAATTAGCCGGGCATGGTGGTAGGCACCTATAGTCCCAGATACTCAGGAGGCTGAGGCAGGAGAATGGTGTGAACCCAGGAGGCAGAGCTTGCAGTGAGCCGAGATTGCACCACTGCACTCCAGCCTGGGTGACAGAGCGACACTCCGTCTCAAAAAAATAAAGAAAAGAAAAGAAAAAAAAAAGACCCCATCTCTACAAAAAAGAAAAAAAAGAGACTACTTCTCTACAAAAAAATTTTTTCAAATTAGTCGGGTGTGGTAGCGTATGCCTGTACTCCCAGCTACTTTGGAGGCTGAGGCAGTAAGATTGCTGGAGCCCAGGAATTCAAAGCTACAGTGAACTATGAACACCATGCACTCCAGCTAGGGTGACAGCGTTAGACACTGTCAAAAGAAAGAAAGAAAAGAGAGAGAGAGAGAAAGGAAAGAAAAGAAAGAGGGAAAGAAAGAAAAAGAAAGAAAGGAAAGAAAGAGAGAAAGAAAAGAAAAGAAAAGAAGGAAAGACGGAAGGAAGGAGAGAAAGAGGGAAAGAAGAAAGAAAGAGAAAGAAAGAAAGAAAAGAAAAGAAAGAAAGAGAAAGAAAGAAAGAAAGATCTATTCTCTTAACCAGACAGCATAGTATAGCAGTTAAGTACAGGACTCTGGAGGCTGCCTGTCTGGGTTTGAGTCCTACCTGGGCTGCTTACTCACTAGTGGTCTTGATTTCTTTTTTTTTTTTGTCCCTTTAATTTTACTTTTGTCAAAACATTTTCAAGATTACTTTAATTTTTACAATATCATTTAAGGGAAAACTAGTGAGTTTGTTGAAGAAAACAAGAAACAGATTTTTTTAAAGCCATTGACCACGAAATAAGCATTATGTTTCAAAGACCATGAAAAAGTTATTTGTCTCTTTTTGGTCTCAACTAGCGAGGGAGGTGAGACCAAACTGCTCAACTGCTGGACAATCTCAGCAAACACACCCACTGTTGAGACTTATTGAGTGACTCAATGTTGGCTAGAATTGTCCATTTAGCTGGAGGGGAAGAGGGAGGGAAGGATGGATGGAGGAGTGAAGTATGGAAGCAGGCATCAGGCCACTTCCCGTACCTCTCCCAAACTCCAAAGGCAATGATCACATTGGAGGGTCAGCTAAACACAAAGGGAAGTGAAGAAAGAAGTTTGAAGATTTTCCTGTTTCCAAAAATCACATACTTTCCTCTTTTGAGTATTCTATAGAATAACTCTCTACATTTCCTAGTTTGTGGAAATTTTCTCTACGGCATAACTACTCTAAATTGTGCAATTTTCCTCATATCAGACTTATTTTTCTCTATACCTGGTTCCCTAGCAAACCTGAGCTTTATTTATATATCTGATATGCACCCCATCTCCACAGCTGGCATTCAATTGCAACTCTAAATTCTAAAGTGCTCAGGGTCAATATAATGCACTGACGATTCAGACCTGACTGGGCATTTTCACTGCATAAATCTAAAAAGTAAACAATCTCATTATGTTTGAGAGGATGGATGGGGAGAAGACTGATCTATATTTCCACTAAGGTAGCCAAGAAATATTCACATGAAGGGACAATGGGAGAGGAGCTGGCAAGAGTTTGGGCAGTACTTGGAAGATGCATTCCTTATCATATAGATTACATATGGCAGTGAATTGACAGAGGATTCACTGGGACATCTTCAGAAAGTAAGTAATGTGTTTCAACACCACTAAAGTGTTAAAATAGGCCTCTTTTCTTCTCGCCAGTATGAAAAGTTAGACAGGAGTCACTCCCAAGAATAGTAAAGGACACTCACTGGGGACAGTCATGATGGGTGAAGAAGGGATACATATTTTTAAGGCAGCAGGAATAAATTTCATCATCCTTCCCAGAAGACAGCAAGAATTATTCAAGGTGGCCACCAAGTCTGGAAACCAGGCAAATCTTTTAACAAATGGTTTATTGATATGTTATAATGAATGACAAAATATTAGTATCTAATTCTAGACTTTATGGCCACCCCATAGGATGAATCTTTGGAACAGAAAAAAAAATAAAGAATTTGTTTTCTCATAATCATAAAGCTGCTATACTCAGTCCAGGCACAGCTAGTACAACATTCTGCTCAACCCCACAGGCTCCATTCCCTTTACCACATATTTATAATATGTTTGGGTCACTCATAGGAGTGAAACACTGTCAGCATCAATAGTTAGCAGCACTTTCAAAATACATTTTATTGTCCCGAATAGAAACCTTAACTATTCAATTAGTCCAGTAATTCCAAATGGTCTTATTACTTCTATACATAAGATATGATCTTACAACATTTATGTAGCTAAATACTTAACTTCCCATGCTTTTTGAGGATTCCCAAAAGACTTTAGGGGGTTCCCAAGACTTTCAGGGTTTTTTTTTTTTTTCACAATAAAAGAAAGGAACAGTGTCAATCCATAAAGTCAGACCAGCAGTTTAATAAGATCCTCTTCATAGCTCAGTTCTCAGTGCATACAGAGATTCAATATAGCCCCATCACTCTCAGTTATTAGAATCTGAGAGGGATAAGAGCAATAACTATTGTTTAAAAGCCTAAGAGTGAAAACAGATGTCAAAAAAAAAAAAAAAAAAAAAGCCAAATTCTTTCATCCCAGGATATCTGAAAAGGAGAGACTCTATGGAGTGTGGATGTAGAAAAGGAGTTATTCCTACCGGAAAAAAATGAACTGTGGACACAGTCACTCAAGACCAGAGAAACAACCACTATGAGTAAGTAGCTTCAATTTCACTGTTACCAGGAGGGCACACACCAGAAAGCCTGGGACAAAGCCTGGGCTAGAGCCCTCAGGATTCATTCTCAGGCTTCCTGGTGCTGTGGTTCAACAGCCTTTGTGGGGATGGGGAGAACCAGAGACTATCACCATCACATGTAAAAAATATTACCACAGCAACAGCTGTCAAAAACCAGCTGGAGCTGAAGTTACACACCATTTGAAATCCACACTGTACTTGCTTTCTTGTGATGGGCTTGAGACATGTGCAGAGACACCTTAAACATGTGTAGGTGACCACCCTTTTGAAAGGCAGAGGAGGGCCTCTTCATGAACTCTTTCTACTCATTTGTTTTCCTATCAGTTCACCATTTCAACTAGAAAAGATGCTGCAAGCTACCTCAGCTAGCTTCTAATTTGGACACAGCACCAATACTACACACACTATTGAATGAATGACCACATCTTCCTGGTTCTTCCATTGGGCAGGGTCAATATGCTTCTTTGGACTGAATAGGTGTGATCTTGTTTGAGAAAAGTGTGTAAACGTAGGGCCAGATTTTGTTCGTCTCCGTTCCGGAAAATTGGTGGAGCACTCCTCGGCTCTTGTATAATTCAATGACTGGCTTTGCCGCGTCTTTGTACTGTCTTAGCCTGGCAGCAACTGCTTCGGGTTTATCATCCTCCTGCTGGACTAATGGTTCACCAGTGACGTCATCAATACCATGTACATGAGGTGGATTGAAGTCCAGGTTATATACCCTTCCGCTAGGAGGGTGAATCCAACGGCGGCTGAGACGATCTTTAAGTGTTTCAAATGGAATATTCAAACTGATCACTAGATCCACTTCACAGATTTTGTCCAGGGCCTCGGCTTGTCCTAATGTCCTAGGAAAACCATCAAGGAGCCAGTGCTGGCCACGCCTATTCTCCAACTCGGACATCATTAGGCGTGTGATCACATGGTCTGGAACCAAAAGACTTTTCTCTATATACTGCTTTGCCACCTCACCAACTTCGGTGCTGGCCTTGATGTTCTCCCGCAAGAAGTGGCCGCTGGAGAGATGCTGGAGACCAAAGTTCTGGGCGATCCTCTGGCACACGGTGCCCTTGCCCGAGCCGGGCGGCCCGAGGATGACCGCGCGCAGGAGTTTGGAAGCCATTGCCTTCGCGAGGAGGGGGGCGGTCAAACGCGCAGCCCCGACCGCGGCCCCGGAGGGAGCCCCGGGAACTTTGTTTCTCGGCCCCCTACCTCTGGCACCCTCCGCTCTCACTGGGACTCGCCGGCCGGCCCTACAGGGGGAAGGCGGTCTTGATTTCTTAATCTCATGCTTCAGTCTCCTCACCTGCAAAATGAGAATGGTGATAATAGGACCTACATTAGGGATGTGATATTGTGAAATATTTATTTGGTCTTCCTACCATCTCCTGGCATAAAATCTTTGGAATCTCCCAAGTGATAAGTGTCTTTTTGTAACCTAATGAGTTGACTGATGGCTGGCAGCCCCTAGGTGGCTTCAGGATGGAGGTTGGGCACGTGAAAGACCAAGACAAAATCAGAGAGTTATGATTTTCAGCCCTATCCAACTTCTGGGAAGGGGAAGGGGCTGAAGGTTAAGTTAATCCTGACGGCCAGTGATTTAATCAATCATGCCTACATAATGAAGCCTCCATAAAAACCCCAAAGGTCTGGCTGGGGGAGCTTCTGGATAGCTGAACACATGGAGGTTCCTGGAGGGTGCCTCTCACCCCACATAGGGCATGGAAGCTCTATGCCCCTTCCCATACCTTGCCCTATGCATCCTTTCAAGTATCCTTTACAATATATATATATTTTTGAGACGGAGTCTTGCTCTATCACCAAGCTGGAGCGCAGTGGCGCGATCTTGGCTCACTGCAACCTCCAGCTCCCTGGTTCAAACGGTTCTCCTGCCTCAGCCTCCTGAGTAACTGGGACTACAGGCACGTGCCACCATGCCCAGCTAATTTTTGTATTTTTTGTAGAGATGGGGTTTCACCATGTTGGCCAGGATGGTCTTGATCTCTTGACCTCATGATCCGCCCACCTTGGCCTCTCAAAGTTCTGGGTTTACAGACGTGAGCCACCGTGCCCAGCCTTTTTACTTTACTTTATTTTATTTTATACAGAGCCTCACTCTGTCATCCAGGCTGGAGTGCAATGGCACAATCTTGGCTCACTGCAACCTCTGCCTCCCTGTTCAAGCGTTTCTCCTGTCTCAGCCTCCTGAGTAACTGGGATCACAGGCACCTGCCAATAATATTCTTTATAATGAACTGATAAATGTAGATATGTATTTCCCTGAGCTCTGTGAGCAGCTCTAGCAAATAAATCCCCCAAGAAGGGGGTCATGGAACCGTGATTTATAGTTGGTAGGTCAGAAGCACAGACAAAACAACCTGGGGCTTGCAATTGCATTGGAAGTGGGACTGAGTCCTCAACCTATGGCATCTGACACTACCCAAGTAGATAGTATGAGAATCGGATTGAATTAGAGGACCTGCCCCCCCCACCCCCTGCTGCCACCACCACCACCCAGCTAGTGTCCATTGCAGAATTTTTCTTAGACAGGGTCTTGCTCTGTCACCCAGGCTGGAGTGCAGTGGCATGATCAAGGCTTACTGCAGCCTATCAACCTCTCAGGCTCAAGAGGTAATCCCACCTCAGCATCCCTAGCTGGGACCATAGGTGCACCCCCTTGCCCTTCCCCCTAATTTTTTTTATTTCTTGCTGGTGGAGAGAAACTCCCACACATTTGGTCACAGAAGTCTTCTGTGAGACTGGTGTGAGAGCAGAGGAAAAACTGTTTTTTCTACTCAATGGGTTATTGATAACTAAATTAGTTAATGTCTGTAAAGTACAGGATAATGCCACCGAGTAACTACTAGGTAAGCATTTATTAAATGAAACACCAATTTCAGGTTAAAAAAGAAACCTGAAATGTTGATTCTGTTGAATAAAAAGTATAGGAGGTTGTTTTTTTGGATTAAGTTTCTGTACTATGCTCCAACAGACAAAACCAAAAATCAAAATGGAGTCACCCATGCTAAAGTTCTGTCACCAAACTTCAATAAGTTGTTATCTGATCTTCAGAGTGAGACCAGTGGGCTGGGGGAAGTTCCCAAACACTGATGAAACCCTGACCCAGGCCAGTGTGCAGGTTCTTGATACCATGATGAGAAGGAATTCAAGGATGAGTCAGAAAATCGTGAAAGTACGGAGATTTATTGCAAAGTAAAAATACACACTCAAGAAAGGGGAGCATGGGCATACTCATGAGAGAGCTGCACAAAGGGGCTTGGGGTTTCTTATATGGGTTTCTTTACCCAAGGGGTGGACTATTCATGAAGATTCCTGGAAAAAGGTGAAGATTTCTCAGAACTGTGATGCTGCCCATTTTAACACCAAATACAGTGTTCTTGTCACAGTGTAGGTGGGTGTGCGATTTGTTTATTAATGGGTGAATAATGAGGTCCTAGGAGAAACCTAGGTCAAATCCTGCTCTCTGTTGGGTCCAGTTGGTTTTAGCCAGCTTGGCCCACATCCTGTTTTTCATGGTCTTATCAGTCCCCAGTTTATGGAGCTATTTCAACAGTTTCATTTTGCTAGGCATGTGAAACTGCTGCCTGGAATTTTCTGTTCTCTTGCAACCACCCTGTATTATTCCTGTCTCAAGAGAAAGCAGGAGAGAGAGATAGCCAAATTCCCAAACAGGTCACTTAATCTTCAAGAGTCACGATAATGAGTTTCCCTCTGCTTTAATCCTTTCACACACAGAAAAAGTAGCCCCAAGAAGCCTGATGTTAACTAATCAGTTATTTTTCTGTTGTTCTATCTCCTTGTCTCATCTTACAAGAAAAGTCACTTTGAAACAATGGACATAATCTTTGCTTCTTCTTTTTTTTTTTTTTTTCCTGAGACAGAGGCTCGCTCTGTCGTCCAGGCAGGAGTACAGTGGTGCCATCTCAGTTCACTGCAACCTCCACCTCATGGGCTGGTCCACCATGATCCTCCCACCTCAGCTTCCCGGGTAGCTGGGATTACAGGCATGGGCCACCACACCCGGCTAATTTTTGTATTTTTTAGTAGAGATGGAGTTTCAGCATGTTGCCCAGGCTGATCTTGAACTCGTGACCTCAAGTGATCCACCCTTCTGGGCCTCCTAAAGTGCTGGGATTACAGGTGTGAGCCACTGCACCCAGCCTGCTTCTTTCTTCATTCCTTCTTGCTCTGTGAAGCCAATGCCTTCTGCTCAGCTCATGATTCTGTTTTGTGGAACAAAGTGTTACCTGTTTCTAGAATTGCAAATAAAGCCAATTGAGATTTTTTTTTTTTTTTTTTTTTTGGCAGAGTCACACTCTGTTGCCCAGGCTATAGTGTAGTGGTGAGATCTCAGCTCACTGCAACCTCCAACTCCTGGGTTCAAGGGATTCTTCCACCTCAGCCTGCCAAGTAGCTAGAACTACAGGTGCACACCACCATGCCCGGCTAATTTTTGTATTTTTAGTAGAGACAGGATTTCACCATGTTGGCCAGGCTGGTATTGAACTCCTAACCTCAAGTGATTTACCCGCCTCAGCCTCCCAAAGTGCTGGGATTACAGGCATGAGCCACCGCACCCAGCCCAACTGAGATATTTAAACTAAACTTGTTGTAACTTTGTCTTTTGACAAGTCTAAGAATATCAGTAATTTTTTTGGCAACCAGTAGATAGCCCCTTCCCTTTTTTTAACTTCCCAAAAGGCAATTGAACCAAATCAAAATAATTTACCAAGATGTAATCTAAACACTTCCCTCATTCAGGTTTTCCCCAGTTATTAACTATGTTAACATAATTAGTGGCTATGCCAACTCATGATATGTTCTTTTTTTAAAAAAACATTTCTGTAGCCAGGCATGGTGGCAGATGCCTGTAATCCCAGCTACTCAGGAGTCTGAGGCAGGAGAATCGCTTGAACCTGGGAGGCGGAGGTTGTAGTGAGCCGAGATCATGCCACTTCACTCCAGCCTGGGCAACAAAGCAAGACTTTGCCTCAAAAAAAAAAAATTGTTTTTGCAATTATTTAATCAGACTTTCTTAAGACTTTGACCTTTATGCACTTTTACCTTCCTTAATAACTCTTCAAAAGAGGCCTTGAAAAAAATGCAATGACTAGCAAGTTATGGGAGTACTGGAATGCAATGACTGTTCAAAGGTTGGTTTCACCCATAGCCATGAGTGTCATAGTCCCAGGAAGATGGGTTGAATTCAGGGCCACTCTAGGAATTTTGCTTGCGGTTTCATAAGCATAGACTATTCCAGACTCCACATCCTTTTTACCTACAATGAGTCCCAAGGCAAACAGAACACTGTGAAGTGGGAGACCAGAATTAATCTAGTTCTCGTCAGAGTATTCTAGGATAAATTCCCAGGCCAAATTACCACTGACAATTTTAGAAACCCTGGATTGGATAAATTCATTATGATAAAGATTAAAATATCACCTTATGTTTATGTGTCGTGGGAGCTTTTTTTTTTTTTTTTTTTTTTTGGGACGGAGTCTCGTTCTGTCGCCCAGGCGGGAGTGCTGTGGCGCGATCTCCGCTCACTGCAAGCTCCGCCTTCCGGGTTCACGCCGTTCTCCTGCCTCAGCCTCCCGAGTAGCTGGGACTACAGGCGCCCGCCACTGCGCCCGGCTAATTTTTTGTATTTTTAGTAGAGACGGGGTTTCACCGTGGTCTCGATCTCCTGACCTCGTGATCCGCCCGCCTCGGCCTCCCAAAGTGCTGGGATTACAGGCGTGAGCCACCGCGCCCGGCCGTCGTGGGAGCTTTTTAAAGGGTTTTCAGTCTTATGAATAGTCTCAGCAATATTGAAAGACTAATATATTAATAGTAATTATTGCTTCATGTTAATCAGCATTCCAAAGATAAGGGGTCAAAACAGGTTATTAATTATAAATATCTGTGGCTCCTCTGGCCTGGAAGTTTCTCTGAATCTGAGTGAATTAGAGTGTAATGAGTGTCCCCTTTGCCTTCCCTGCACTTAGTACATGTACCTACCAAGTATTGAGCACTGACCATTAAAATTGTAATTCTCTTCTTTTCTTCTCATTTTTATTTTTTGTGATGCTATAACAATAAAGAAGAAAATCTAAGGCTTACATAATCTTACCACCTCAATGCAATTATCTCCATTTCCACTGATTTCCTTCCAGACTTTGTCCAGATGCATACAGGCTTTTACATAATTATCATCACAGTGTATGTGCTTCTTAATTTTACTTTTTCTCCATTTATACCAACTTTCATTCAAATTGTTTCATAATCATCTTAATTACTACAGCTTCATATTCCTGTTAGTTGGTATGTGATAATTTACTTAGCTATTTATCTATCAGGAGACATGTAGGTTTTTTCCAAATTTTTTCCCTACTAAAGTTGAGACGAACTTTTCTGTTCTTATATATTCCTTGGATTATTTCTACGTAATACATTTATAAGGATATGATTATAGGTTGTGGCCAGGCACGGTGGCTCACACCTGTAATTTCAGCACTTTGGGAGGCCGAGGCGGGTGGATCACCTGAGGTCAGGAGTTCGAGACCAGCCTGGCCAACATAGCAAAACCTTGTCTCTACTAAAAATACAAAAATTAGCTGGGGGTGGTGGCGCATGCCTGTAGTCCCAACTACTTGGGAAGCTAAGGCAGGAGAATTGCTTGAACCTGGGAGGCAGAGGTTGCAGTGAGCTGAGATCGCACCACTGCACTCCAGCCTGGGCAACAGAGCGAGACCCTGTCTCAAAAAAATAAATAAATTATAGCTTGTGGCAGATTGTATGTTCCAAAAGCAGCCACAATATCCTCCTGATCCTAGTGCTCTTCTGCAATGTGATCTTGTCACTCTCCTTTGAACCTGGGCCCTGTGACTGCTTTGACCAATAGAATATGGTAATAGTGACATTGCGCTTTTTCAGGTGCAGCCCTTGTTTGGCCTGGTAACATCTACTTCCCACTTCGGCGAAGTGCAACTATTCTGAGAGCCCCCATGCTATGAGAAGTCCAAGCCACATGAAGGGGCCCTAGGGGCTCCAGTGCTAGGTATAGAACAAGAAAAGCTCCAGAGCATTTGAGAGACTGTGAGGAAAGACACCACCTGGGAAGTGCATGTTCCAGATCTCATTACCCGACAGAAAGCCAGGCAGACAAACTGTCTAGCAGAGCCCTTCCCAAATTTCATACTCACAAAACTGCATGCAAAATAAATGGTTATATAGGTTGAACATCCTTAATCTGAAAATTCAAAATCGTAAATGTTCCAGAATCCAAAACTTTTTTGAGTATTAACATGATGCCACAAGAGAAAAATTCCACACATGACCTCATGTGATGAGTTGAAGTCAAAACAAAGGCTGACAGCACACAGTTTACTTAGCATTCTCAGAGGAAAAAAGACCCTCCCAGTCCTCTTCAGCTGTGATATCTTTTCTGCATCTGTTCAGATTCCTTCGTGCAAGCGCATCCACAAAGCATAATAAAATAAAAACTTTGTTTCATATACAAAATTATTTAAGATATTGTATGGGCTGGGCGCAGTGGCTTACACCTGTAATCTCAGCACTCTGGGGGGCTGAAGTGGGCAGATAGCTTGAGCCCAGGAGTTCGAGACCAGCCTGGGCAATACAGCAAAACCCTGTCTCTACCAAAACAATAATAATAATAATACAAAAATTTGGCTGGGCACAGTGGTTCACACCTGTAACCCCAGCACTTTGGGAGGCTGCAGTGGGTGAATCATCTGAGGCCAGGAGTTCGAGACCAGCCTGGCCAACATGGTGAAACCCCATCTCTACTGAAAAAACAAAAATGAGCTGGGCATAGTGCTATGCACCTTAATCCCAGCTACTCGAGAAGCTGAGGCACGAGAATGGCTTGAATCTGGGAGGTGGAGTTTTCAGTGAGCTGAGATGGCACCACTGCACTCCAGCCTGGGCAACAGAGTGGCACCCTGTCTCAATTAAAGAAAAAAATACAAAAATTAGCTGGGCAGGATGGCATGGGTCTTTAGTCCCGGCTACTTGGGAGGCCGAGGTGGGAGGATCACTCAAACCTGGGAAGTTGAGGTTGCAGTGAGCTGAGATCACACCCTTATACTCCAACTGGAGTGACAGAGCAAGAACCTGTCTCAAAATAAATAAATAAATGATTAAAAATAAAATATTATATAAAACCACCTTCGGTCTATGTGCATAAGGTATATATGAAACATAAATGAATTTCATATTTAGACCTGGGCTCCATTCCCAACAGATCTCCTTATGTATATGCAAATATTCCAAAATCTGAAACAGTTCTGGTCCCAAACATTTTGCATTAAGGATACTCAACTTGTATTAAGCCGTCAAGTCTGTCAGTAGTTACCTAATATAAAGGTACTTGAAACACAGGTCAAAAGATAAATTTTCTTTTCCCACACACTGGCAAGAGTTTCTAATAGATTGATCCTGTTTATACAATTTGCAGTGCCCTTAAAGAGTCTGTGCTTTTCAGGGTGCAAGCCTTAGAAGACTGTTCTCTGCCCTGAGTCTGAGTTTCTTCATTTAAGGTGCCATAGTGTCCAGCTTTTTAGAGGGCATTTAAATTTTGCCTCTTTTCTGAGTAGGTAACCCCTTACTCTGGAAGTCCTCCACTAATTTTCTTATCTTCACCAGCTCTAGTTTTCTTCCTTCTTGTTCTCCCTAATTCTCTCTCATCTTCTGCTCTGCTCATCTTCAAACAAAAGTAAATGCTACTCAGCTGGGTACAGCGGCTCATGCCTGTAATCCCAGCACTTTGGGAGGCCAAGGCAGGCAGATCAATTGAGGTCAGGAGTTCGAGACCAGCCTGTCCAACATGGTGAAACCCCGCCTCTACTATAAATACAAAAAAATGAGCCAGGTGTGGTGACAGACCCCTGTAATCCCAGCTGTTCAGGAGGCTGTGGCAGGAGAATCGCTTGAACCTGGGAGGCGGAGGTTGCAGTGAGCCAAGGTCGCACCACTGCACTCCAGCCTGGGTAACAGAGCGAGACTCCATCTCAAAATAAATAAATAAAATAATACCTACTGGTGGGAATGGTTATTCATGCCTGTAATCCAGCTTTTTGGGAGGCAGAGGCAGGGGGATCGCTTGGGCCCAAGAGTTCGAGTGAGCTATGATTGCGCCACTGCACTCCAGCCTGAGCAACAGAATAAGACCCCATGTCAAATAAACAAACAAAAACTGCCACAAAGATTATAAAATAATAATCACAATCACAGTAATACCTACCATTTATCTACCTTAATTTTTTTTTCTTTGAGACAGAGTTTCGCTCCTGTTGCCCAGGCTGGAGTGCAATGGCAAGATCTCGGCTCACTGTAACTTCCGCCTCCCAGGTTCAAGTGATTTTCCTGCCTCAGCCTCCCAAACAGCTGGGATTACAGGCGCCCACCACCACGCCCTGCTAATTTTTGTAGTTTTAATAGAGATAGGGTTTCACCATGTTGGCCAGGCTGGTTTTGAACTCCTGACCTCAGGTGATCCACCTGCCTCAGCCTCCCAAAGTGCTGGGATTACAGGCATGAGCCACCGAGCCTGGCCTCTCTACCTTAAATTTA
This sequence comes from Homo sapiens, assembly GCF_000001405.40. NCBI lineage: Eukaryota > Metazoa > Chordata > Mammalia > Primates > Hominidae > Homo > Homo sapiens. The sequence goes on from NC_000012.12 coordinate 31,624,914, forward strand.
AACACATGAAGTTTTTTTTAACTCACTTGGCGAAAGGAACCAGGAAGGAAGCTGAAATATCTGTGTATAACTTAATGGTACATTAAGATAAAAGCTTGATTCACTAATTCATTCAAAAAAACTTTTTGAGGCCGGGCATGGTGGCTCAAGCCTATAATCCCAGCACTTTGGGAGGCAGGAGGATGGCTTGAGGCCAGAAGTTGGAAATAAGCCTGGGCAACAGAGTCAGACCCCATCTCTACAAAAAAGCAGACAACAACAACAAAAACAAAAACCTTTTGAACACCTATTATGGGTTAAGCATACTGATTCTCTCAGGTAGGACTCTGAGTATGCAGTATAGAAAACTAGCTCAAATTGGATTAAGGCAAATGGGAATTTATTGGCTCGTGGAATGGAGGACCAGTTTCAGGAGAGGCCTAACTCAGGGCTCAACAATGTGAAGGGGAAATGGATTTTTCTGTTTCTTGGCTGACTGCTCTTCTCTGTGTGCTGGTTTCTTTCTCAGGCTCCGAGCAGTTGGTCGAAGTAGCAGCTCTCGACTCAGCCTCTGAGGCTCAAGTTCAATGAGAGGGAGCGAGAGAGAAATCGTTCTAGGGAGCTGCAGCAAGACCTAGGATCCAACGAGTGGACCATCTTAGATGGCCCCATTTCTGAGGTGCCCATTTCTGAACCAGTCCCAGTGGCCAGGGGTATAAGCATGTTCTGATTGGCTTAGGCTTGGACACATGTTCCACCTCTAGAGCTGAGTTGGCTTTATCTGGAGTACAGGGACTGAAAGTGGGGAACAGAAGTCTCCCCAGAGCAAAATAGGAGTACTCTAAGATGTGGTTGCAAATCAGCACACCCCACCTATCTCTGTTTGACTACTATTTATGCGTTCTCAGCAGACATAAATGTGTTAAGAGTAGTAGATCGGCCGGGTGCAGTGGCTCACGCCTGTAATCCCAGCACTTTGGGAGGCCGAGGCAGGTGGATCACCTGAGGTCAGGAGTTCAAGACCAGCCTGACCAATGTGGTGAAACCCTGTCTCTACTAAAAATACAAAAATTAGCCGGGCAATGTGGCATGGACTTGTAATCCCAGCTACTCTGGAGGCTGAGGCAAGAGAATTGCTTGAAACCGGGAGGCAGAGGTTGCAGTGAGCCCAGATCATGCCATTGCACTCCAGCCCAGACGACAGAGCAACCCTCCGTCTCAAAAAAAAAAAAGGTAGATCACAACCTTCTTTGACTAATACTCTATCCACACCCACTCCCCTATTTAACCAGTGTGTCCCCTCTAAGAATCTTTATCCTCATGGTTCACATGGTGTATTAGTCTGTTCTCACGCTGCTAATAAAGACATACCCGAGACCGGGTAATTTATAAAAGAAGTTTAATTGACTCACAGTTCTACATGACTAGGGAGGCCTCACAATCATGGCAGAAGGTGAATGAAGAGCAAAGTCAAGTCTTACACGGCAGCAGGCAAGAGAGTATGCCCAGGGGAACTCCCCTTTATAAAACCATCAGATCTTGTGAGACTTACTCACCACCACAAGAACAGTATGGGGGAAACCACCCCCATGGTTCAAGTATCTTCACCTGGCTCCACCCTTGACACGTGGGGCTTATTACAACTCGAGGTGAGATCTGGGTGGGACACACCATATCACGTGGCCACACCATATCACATGGCTTTGGAACCCTTCAGGGTACTGGGTGCATGGATATGTGTAATGTTTTATTGCTTCTCTTTTGAGGTGCCACAAAATACCCTTCTCTGCTTGGAGACGCAGGCTCCAGGAAAAGGAAGGAGACCAACAGATGAGAAGTGACTTCTTTTCTTCCACTTCTAGGAAAATACATAATTAGAACCTTCCAAGATGTAAGGAAAAAGGGCCAGATTTAGATTTCCAAATGTGGAGTGACAAGTATTTTACAAAATGAGGGAGTTGGATTAGATAACTCACTAAAGGCCCTCCTAGTTATCGAAGGATTCTATTATTCACATCCTTTCTTTTAGAACAGCAGTGTTTGTTTTGGTTTCAATAAGGGGAGAGGGCATGGGCTCCTGAAGTGGCAGGGAGGAGGGGAAGAGATGGAGCAGCGCAGGCAGGGGCAAGCGGGGACTGTGAGACAAATAACACCCATTTCCCAGTTTTAGTTGTCAGGCGGCTGCTCTTCACTCCCCACTTGGATTTTGAGCATTTTCACAAATCTTCAGAATTAGTTCAAATCATCAACTCGTACTTGGTAGCTTTATTCCCTTGGCTCTTGAAAGGGAAAGTAAATCAAAGCTTGTCTGCCCAGAACCTGGCAGGAGCATTTAATAAAGATGTTCAGCTTGGCGCAGTGGCTCATGCCTGTAATCCCAGCACTTTGGGAGGCCGAGGCGGGCGGATCACTTGAGGTCAGGAGTTTCAGACCAGCCTGACCAACATGGTGAAACCCCATCTCTACTAAAACTACAAAAATTAGCCGGGCATGGTGGCGGGCACGTGTAATCCCAGCTACTCAGGAGGCTGAGGCAAGAGAATTGCATGAACCTGGGAGGTGGAGGTTGCAGTGAGCCCAGATCATGCCACTGCACTCCAGCCTGGGTGACAAGAGGGAGACTGTCTCAAAAAAAAAAAAAAAAAAAAAAAAAGATGGTCATGGTCATCCCAGGGTGGGGGCAGGCTTGAGGACTCTGCGGTGGTCTCTCAGGATCTACTCCAGATCCAGGCTGGCTTCCAGAAATACTGCAAGTGGTAAGAATGCCAAGATTTCCCAGCTCTGTTGCAGAATGAATTAGTGGCCCTCAAGTGAAGTCACTGCAGAACAAAAGGCTATAAAAAGAGAGAAAAGAATGAGGGGGAGATGTTATAGGTGCAAACTGGCATGGAAAGCCCTGCAACGCAAGCAAGCAAGATGTTTGAATTCTCCCAAGAGAGGCAGACAAAGCAACACAGGAAAACATTTAGACATCCATGAAGGCAGAGAGAATCCTGAAGCGGAAGTCTGTCAGTGAGCAGCATTTCAGTGCTGAGCCAAAGACAGGGAATTGGCCAAAGCACCAGGAAAGAGAGCTGCAGGCCCTCAGTAGCTGGTCAACCAATATGGGTTGAAACGAAGTCTGGTTTCAGCATTTGTGCTGATGTTGCCTCATTTTACGTTTTTTAGTTTTTGTTTTGAGACAGAGTTTTGCTCTTGTGGCCCAGGCTGGAGTGCAATGGTGCAATCTCAGCTCACTGCAACCTCCACACTGCCCCGCCGCCAGGTTCAAGTGATTCTCCTGCCTCAGCCTCCCTAGTAGCTGGGATTATAGACACGCACCACCATGCCCGGCTAATTTTGTATTTTTAGTAGAGACGGGGTTTTACCACGTTGGCCAGGCTGGTCTTGAACTCCTGACCTCAGGTGATCCAGCCGCCTCGGCCTCCCAAAGTGCTAGGATTACAGGTATGAGCCACCGCGCCTGGCCCATTTTACATTTTATTTCTCATTGATCACTTGCAGGTCAGAGAGTCACACAAGCTACAGTCCCAAGCACCTATGTTCTAAACGGTGCAGCTTGGCAAGGGAGTCACAAATAAACATGCCCCTTTCCCCAGTTTCCTCTTCCAAATAGTCCTGACCCTCTATGTAAGGACCCAGAAGTGCCTCAAGTCGTGTTAAAGCCTACATTTCACTCTTTTATCTGAAATACAATTTGAGAAATAGGAAATGCATGATTTGTAACCTGACAAAGTTGAATTTTACCTGAGCCTTGTGGGCCTGGTGAACAGTGAAGGTTAAGAAATCCCCCACCCAGATCACAAGGTCGGGAGATCAAGACCATCCTGGCTAACACAGTGAAAACCCGTCTCTACTAACAATACAAAAAAAAATTAGCCGGGCGTGGTGGCGGGAACCTGTAGTCCCAGCTACTCGGGAGGCTGAGGCAGGAGAATGGCGTGAACCCGGGAGGCGGAGCTTGCAGCGAGCCGAGATCGCGCCACTGCACTCCAGCCTGGGTGACAGAGCGAGACTCCATCTCAAAAAAAAAAAAAAGAAAAATCCCCTACCCGGGCTGGGCATGGTGGCTCACGCCTGTAATCCCAGCACTTTGGGAGGCCGAGGTGAGAGGATCACCTGAGGTCAGGAGTTCGAGACCAGCCATGACCAACATGGTGAAACCCTGTCTCTACTAAAAATACAAAAAAAATTAGCCGTTGTGGTGGCAGGCACCTGTAGTCCCAGCTACTCAGGATACTGAGACAGAAGAATCGTTGGAACCCAGAAGGCGGAGGTTGCAGTGAGCCGAGATCAGGCCACTGCACTCTAGCCTGGCAACAGAGCAAGACTCAGTCTCAAAAAAAAAAAAAAAAAAAGAAAAAGAAAGAAAGAAAGAAAGAAAGAAAGAAAGAAAGAAAGAAAGAAAATCCCCCACCCTTCATGTTCTGCAAAAGGGCTTACTGCAAAGACCACCCCCCAACCCTTCCACATGTCACTTCAGTAAGACTCACAGATGCTCTTCTTCTTTACCTATGTTAAGACCAGACACAGACCCTCAAAATTTCCTTTCTTTGCCTCACAGATGATTAGCTGAACTGCTTGTCCTCACTGAAGAACTAGAGCAAAATACATGTTACCCAAACTTTGGTTAGGCTTCTCTCCTTCCTCAGAGCCTCAGAACTTTGTTTACCCTTGGCCTGAGCCCCTTCAGAGAACAGGGTGGCTTCAGGGCCAAACATTCCAATTTGCTCGATTTGTTACTCTTTCATCTGCTTCCCACATCTGGTTCATCCTAGCCTTGTTTCCTCCTACCATAGAGAAACCCTTTGCAACCTTTGAGATGTTTACAGACCTTCCAGTCCCAGCATTCCCCTCCCTCCATTGCAGGAGTACCCCCGCAATGCCCTGGCAATAATTCCTTCGAATGAAGGTCTCTCTTTTACCACATCCAGAATTTTTTTTATTTGACAAACCAGAAATGGAAGACAACCCATCAGCTCGTCTTCTGAGCTCCTTCTAGCGCCAGGAATTCCATAGAAACCGCATATTGTTTGATTCCTCAGCCCCCGGATGGGTTGCCAGAGTGCAGTGGGACTTGCCAAGAGAATGTGACCTCTGACAAACAATGATATGGGTAGAGAGCCTAAGTTAAATGCTTATCATGTGCTAGGTACTATTTTATGTGTTTTATGTTTGTTATCACATTTAATTTTCCCAATTTCCATAAGAGGAAAGTATTATTTTTAGCCCTGTCTTATAAGACAGGAAACAGAGGCTCTCAGTTAAATTAGTCAAGGTCACACAGCCAGTGAGTGACAGAGCTGGGACGCAAATGCAGGTCAGTCTGAGGCCATGGTTGGGCTTGTAATCACCATGCTATGGGCTTTCCTAAGAGGCGGCTTCTTGGAAATGCTCCTTTCGGTGTCTGGTATCTCTGGATAGAAGCGTGTGAAAAAGAAACTGTCAGCTGGGAATTAGCCAAGCACAACAGCCAGAGTATGGTGTCCACCTGCCGAACACTGAGGGAAACCAAAATATTTCTCCCCAAAATATTGAGGATTGTTAGTTGAAGACACTAAACCGCAGGGGACCGCTGTGCCTCAGCCTCTGTGTGCCTGATGGCGGGGCATAAATCCTTCCTTATTGGAGACAGCACTTGCTTTTTGGCCCAGAGAAGGCACCAGCAGGCACCAGCGGAAACTGGGAACAGATTTTACTCTCTTCCCACATGTATTAGTCAGGATTCTCTTAGAGGGACAGAACTAATAGGAAAGAGATAGATAGATAGATAGATAGATAGATAGATAGATAGATAGATAGATAGATAGATGCATACATACATACATACATACGTAGATAGATACATAGATACATGGATAGATAGAGATAAAGGGAAGTTTATTAAGTATTAAGTTACACAGTCACAAACTCCCACAATAGGCTGTCTGCAAGCTGAGGAGCAAGGAGAGCCAGTCCAAGTCCCAAAAATGAAGAACTTGGAGTCTGATGTTCAAAGGCAGGAAGCATCCAGCACGGAAGAAAGATGTAGGCTGGGAGGCCAGGCCTGTCACACCTCTTCATGGTTTCTGCCTGCTTTATATTCATTGGCAGCTGATTAGATTGTGCCCACTAGATTAAGGGTGGATCTGCCTTCCCCAGCCCAGACTCAAATGTTAATCTCTTTTGGCAACACCTACACGGACACACCCAGGATCAATACTTTGTATCCTTCAATCCAAGCAAGTTGACACTCAGTATTAACCATCACACCATATTTTTCCGCCTTTGAAAAGACTGGAACTGCTCTCTCTTTCATCTTGTCACTATGTAGGATTTATGGCTCTTTGTTAAACTATGATTTAAGCAAAGCCCCTAAGCCACTGCCTTGAGAGAGAAATACTTTTGAACTGAGGCCTCTCCCGTGTGATGGGTACTGCATGCATTAATAAATTTCTGCTTTTTTTTTTTTTTTGTTAATCTAACTTTTGTTTTCAGGAGAGTATCTCAACTAAAAACCTAAAAAAGAAAAGGAAAAAATATGTTTTCTCCCCCACAATGTGCACCTGCCAAACAGACCATTTCACAGCAAAGCAATGCGTAACACAATGGAGTGAAACAAAGAAGAGACCAGTGTGTAATCATGCCCATGCCCTCAGCACAGACAGAAACAAGTGCACGTACTGTGTAAACTACAGAAGCGACCAAACACCTCCCTTTCCTGGCTACTATAAGCAGCTGAGGCTTCTTTATCAATGAGGTTTTGAGTGGGGCTTGGTTCCTGCCACTTTCTAAATAAAAATCATTAAGATACTCAATCACCAAATTGCCCACACTATCTGACTGCACCCAGTCCAGAGCAGGCCTCGCTCGGCTCAGCCCTTCCCCAAGTCATCTAACATAAACTCAAATCCTACTATAAGCCCCTCCTAATGGCCTCTTACCTAGACCACACTTCCCTAGGGTGTGTAAACCCAAATCATAAAGCTGACTCTCGCTGCAGATGAACTAAGGGACTGGTGAGCTTCAACACAAGCTTGGCCCCATCTGCGCACCTGAACGCAATGCTTTCCCATGCGTCTCCCCGTGGATACATCCCGTAATGGAGGGTGCTCTGACTTCAGCTGGTTCGGGAAAGGCCACTCCTGGGATTGCTTCCTCTTTTCTGCCCAGCATTTCTTCTTCTTCTTTTTTTTTTTTTTTTTGAGACGGAGCCTCACTCTGTCGCCCACACTGGAGTGCAGTGGCGCCATCTCAGCTCACTGCAACCTCTGCCTCCCGGGTTCAAGATTCTCCTACCTCAGCCTCCCGAGTAGCTGGGACTACAGGCATGTGCCACCACGCCCGGCTAGTTTTTTGTATTTAGTAGACATGGGGTTTCACCATGTTGGTCAGGCTGGTCTCAAACTCCTGACCTCAGGTGATCCACCTGCCTCGGCCTCCCAAACTGCTGAGATTATAGGTGTGAGCCACCACACCCAGCCTTCTTTCTTCTTTACTCTCCCAACTCCTCCACTGCAACTCCCATTCTACAGAGAAGGCATTATCTCCTTTGGGCTAATGTTTTACCATACTGAAAAGACCTCTCTAAGTTAGTCCTCTTCACCTCAGTTTCCCAGCTGGGAAAGCTCAAGCCCAGGCATTGTAGGTCCCTGTGGCTTTACGTACACCTGAAAGTGGCAGGGACGGGTCAGCAGAGACCCTGATCCTACCATTAGGTTCTGAATGGGAAAAGGAACTACAGAAGCATCTCCACCAAAGCTCTTCTTGCCAAAGTTTACTTCTGTATTGTTTAGGCCTTGGAGGTAAAGGATAAAATTGTCCAGACAGCTAATTATTTTCTTCAGGTGGCTGAGGTAGGAGGATAGCTTGAGTCCAGGAAGTCGAGGCTGCCATGAGCTATGATTGCACCACTGCCCTCCAGCCTGGGAGACAAAGCAAGACTCTTTCTCTAAAAAAAGAGGTAAAAAAAAAAAAAGGAACGAGATTGTGTCCTTTGCAGGGACATGGATGGAGTTGGAAGCTGTTATCCTCAGCAAACTAACACAGGAACAGAAAACCAAACACCGTATATTCTCGATTATAAGCGAGAGCTGTACGATGAGAACACATGGACACATGGGGGAAACAACACACTGGGGCCTGTCGGGGGATGGGAGGAGGGAGCGCATCAGGGAGAATAGCTAATGGATGCTGGGCTTCATACCTAGGTGATGGGATGATCTGTGCAGGAAAGCAACATGGCACACATTTACCTATGTAACAAACCTGCACATCCTGCACATGTACCCCAGAACTTTAAAGTCGAAAAAAAAGAGGCCGGGCGTGGCTGTTCAGACCTGTAATCCTAGCACTTTGGGAGGCCAAGGAGGGCAGATCACTTGAGGTCAGGAGTTTGAGACCAGCCTGGCCAGCATGGTGAAACCCCATCTCTATTAAAAACACGAAAATTAGCCAGGCATGGTGGCAGGCGCCTGTAATCCCAGCTACTCAGGAGGCTGAGGTAGGAGAATTGCTTGAACCTGGGAGGTGGAGGCTGCAGTGAGCCAAGATCGTGCCACTGCACTCCAGCCTGGGCAACAGAGCAAAATTCCATCTCAAAACAAAATCAAAAACACATACCATCACACCGGAGATTAGGGCTTCAACAGAGAAATTTTGAAGGAACACAATTCAGTCCATAGCAAGTAGTACAGTGGTTTTTAAAAATTTTTATTTTTAATTCAAATGTAATAATTGTACATATTTATAGGGTACAATGTGATGTTTTGATACATGTATATATTGCGTAATGACAAAATCAGGGTAACTAGTACACTCACCACCTCAAAGATTAATTTTTTTTTGTGGTGGGAACATACAAAATCCTCTCCTCTAGCTATTTTGAGATATACAATACCTTATTGTTGGCTACAGCCACCCTACTGTGCAATGGGATGCGAGAATTTATTCTTCCTTGTTAATTTTAACTTTAAAAGTTTATTTTTGGCCGGGCACGGTGGCTCACGCCTGTAATCCCAGCACTTTGGGAGGCCAAGGCAGGTGGATCACCTGAGATCAGGAGTTCGAGAACAGCCTGGCCAACATGGTGAAACTCCGTCTCTATTAAAAATACAAAAAAATTAGTCAGGCATGGTGGCAGGCACCTGTAATCCCAGCTACTTGGGAGGCTGAGGCATGAGAATTGCTTGAACCTGGGCGGCAGAGTTTGGCAGTGAGCCGAGATCACGCCACTGCACTGCAGCCTTCACGACAGAGCGAGACTCTGTCTCAATAAAAAGAAAACAAAAAGTTTATTTTTGTTGTAACATTCTTTTATTATTTCTAGAGGCATGTAACAATGTGCTATGTAACAATTCAAGACTGTGGCCCAGATGAAATAATGATAGCAGCACATATCTGGAACTTCTTTGGTCACATGAATGCATAATAAATATATGAAGTGGAAACTCAATTCTACGTAGTATGACTACAGCAGACTAAAGACAATAATCAGGCCGGGTGTGGTGGCTCACACCTGTAATCCCAGCACTTCAGCACTTTAGGAGGCCAAGACCAGCAGATTGCTTGAGCTCAGGAGTTCCAGACCAGCCTGGGCAACATGGCAAAACCCCATCTCTACAAAAAATACAAAAATTAGCTAGGCATGCTGATGTGCGCCTATAATGCCAGTTACTTTGGAGGCTGAAGTGGGAGGGAGGTGGAGACCATAGGGAGCAGAGATCACGCCACTACACTCCAGCTTGGGTGACAGAGTGAGACCATGTCTCAAAAAAAAAAAAAATGCAATGACCACCAAAAACTACTCTCTGCAGTAACATGGCAATGAAAATAGATGCCATTGTTATGTACTTTAACTTCTACTATGATTATTTGACATGAGATTCCTTTCCTTTGCTTTCCTTTTTTTTTCTTTTTCCTTTTCCTTTCCTTTCTTTTCCTTTCTTTTTTTGGAGACAGGGTGGGTCTCACTCTGTTGCCCAGGCTGGAGTGCAATGGTGCAATCTTAGCTCACTGCAACCTCTGCCTTCCTGGCTCAAATGATCCTCTTGTGCCTCCCGAGTAGCTGGGACTACAGGTGCCCACTACCATGTTCAGTGATTTTTTTTTTCCTGCAGTTTTTGTAGACAGGGTTTCATAATGTTCCCCATGCTGGAGATTTCTTTCTTTCTTTTTTTGAAAAACAAAAAACAAAAAAACAAAGTCTTGCTGTCGCCTAGGCTGGAGTGCAACGGCACAATCTTGGCTCACTTCAACCTCTGCCTCCCAGGTTCAAGCGATTCTCCTGCCTCAGCCTCCCGAGTAGCTGGGATTACAGGCTTCGTGCCACCCCGCCTGGCTGATTTTTGTATTTTTAGTAGAGATGGGGCTTCACCATGTTGGCCAGGCTGGTCTCAAACTCCTAACCTCAGGTGATCCACCCACCTCGGCCTCCCAAAGTGCTGGGATTACAGGCATGAGCCACCATGCCCAGCCTTTTAAATTTATTTTAAAAATAAACGTATTTCTTACAGTTCTGGAGGTTTGAAAGTCCACAGCTGTTGGGCTGCATCTGGTGAGGGCCTTCTTACCGCAGCATAACATGACAGAGAGCATGACAGGGCAAGAGGCCATTTTCTTGTCTGAGAGTTTGATTTAGTCTAGAATCTGACCCCATCTTGACATAAACACCACTGGCTCAGATAAATATTAAGTGCAACAGTTTACCTAATTTAGTTATTTATTTGTATTCTTTTATTTTTATTTTATTTATTGAGAGGGGTTTTGTCATGTTGCCCATGCTGGTCTTGAACTCCTGGACTCAAGCGATCCTCTCACTTTGGCCTCCCAAAGTGCTGCGATCATAGGCTTGAACTACCGCGTCCAGCTAGTTTATCTAATTTAAAGACATCAAAATCTAAAGTCAGATTCTTACTTAGATTTGGTGTTTCAGATTTCAAAGAGATGAGATGTCACCAGATAAAAACTACTAGGTGGTAACCAGGCGTGGTGGCTCACGCCGTAATCCCAGCACTTTGGGAGGCTGAGGCGGGCGGATCACGAGGTCAGGAGTTCAAGACCAGCCTGGCCAACATGGTGAAACCCCGTCTGTACTAAAAATACAAAAAAAATAGCTGGGCATGGTGGCAGGCACCTGTAATCCCAGCTACTCGGGAGGCTGAGGCAGGAGAATCATTTGAACCCAGTAGGTAGAGATTGTAGTCAGACGAGATCTCACCATTGCACCCCAGCCTGGGCGACAGGGTGAGACTCTATCTCAAAAAAAAAAAAAACAAAAAACGACCAGGTGGCTCACGCCTGTAATCCCAGCACTTCGAGAGGCCAAGGTGGACCGATTGCTTGAGCTCAGAAGTTCAAGATCAGCCTGGGCTACATAGTGAAACCCTGTCTCTAAAACAAACAAACAAACAAACAAACAAAAAACAAACAAACAAAGCTTAGCTGGGCGTGATGGCGCATGCCTTTAGCCCCAGCTACTCAAGAGGCTGAGGAGGGAGGATCACTTGAGCCTGGGAGGCAGAGGCTGCAGTGAGCTATGATCGTGCCACTGTACCCCAGCCTGGGTGAGAGAGTCCCTATCTCAAAAAAATAAAACCAAAAAACTACTGGGGCCACGTCAGAACTGAAAGAGTTCTGCAGGCCCTTCAGAGAAAGGAGAAGTGAGAGTCAATTAACCTCAAGATTACATTTAAAAGCATTTTCCTCTTTAGTATAGAGGTGTGTTAAAAAAAAAAAAAGCATTTATACGAGGTATGTGAGGTATGTTAGTGAAACAGCAAAAACCTAATTATATCCTAAATAACTGGCACGCTCTAGGTTACAAATAGCAATTTGTAAAAGACCCATTGAATGAACACATTAAACAGCAGGTTGCTTATTCCTTCTCAAACCGCACTAAAAAATTCCTCTCTCGCATGTGTAGGTCCCAGAGCCAGACAGTTATGAGATGATGGTGCCCCCTGGTGGCCAATGTGGGGAGCCACCCGGCCAGGCGTGCTTCCTGGCTTTGTGCCAGCCATGCCTTTATTCTTTGGTTGGTTGGTTGGTTGGTTGGTTAGTTGGTTGGTTGGTTGGCTGGTTGAGACAGAGTCTTGCTCTGTCGCCCAGGCTGGAGTGCAGTGGCGATTTCGGCTCACTGCAACCTCCGTCTCCGAGGTTCAAGCAATTCTCCTGCCTCAGCCTCCGGAGTAGGTAGGACTACAGGCGCCCACCATCAAGCCCGGCTAATTTTTGTATTTTTGGTAGAGACGAGGTTTCACCATATTGGCCAGGCTGGTCTTGAACTCCAGACTTCAAGTGATCCACCCGCCTCTGCCTCCCAAAGTGCTGGGATTACAGGCATGGGCCACCGTGCCCGGCCAGACCATGCCTTTACTTTTGCACATATGCACAGTATTTCTGAAAATCAAGTGAAAAAGTTGGATTTATATACTCTATGTGAGTTTACATGTTATGGGGATTTCCATTTCCAGAGAATTAAAATGGATAATCAAATGTTTAATTTCATTTCACAATTTTCAAATATTTCTTTCCTTCCCTCCCTCCTTCCTCTCTTTCTTTTTTCTTTCTCTTTCTTTCTTTCTTTCTTCTCTTCCTTTTTTTTTTTTCTTAGACAGAGTCTCACTCTGTCGCCCCAGCTGGAGCTCAGTGGTGCAATCTCGGCTCACTGCAACCTCTGCCTCTCAGGTTCAAGTGATTCTCCTGCCTCAGCCTCCTGAATAGCTGGGACTACAGGCCTGTGCCACCATGCCCAGCTAATTTTTGTATTTTTAGTAGAGACAGGGTTTCACTATGTTGGCCAGGCTGGTCTTGAACTTCTGACCTCAGGTGATCCACCCATCTCAGCCTCCCAGAGTGCTAGGATTACAGGCGTGAGCCACTGTGCCGGGGCAGCAGGCCTTTCTTGACTGCAGATTTTCTAATACATGAAAACAGCCACCAATTGCAAAAATATATTAATTTTCGACAGGTACAAAAGGCACTTTGTGAATATCAGTATGCAGTTGGGTACACTTATCCGGAATTAAACCTGTCTCTCCTGGAGCTACATGCCACAGGCATCTCACACAGGGGCCGCTGTTCTGGAACACTCCTGTGAGCCAATAAAGGATCAACAGCTTCTCTTCAGGCCAGGCGCAGTGGCTCACACCTGTAATCCCAGCACTTTGGGAGGCCGAAGGGGGCGGATCACCTGAGGTTAGGAATTAGAGACCAACCTGGCCAACATGGTGAAACCCTGTCTCTACTAAAAATACAAAAATTAGCCAGGTGTGGTGGCGGGCGCCTGTAATCCCAGCTACTCAGGAAGCTGAGGCAGGAGAATCACTTGAACCTGGGAGGCGGAGGTTGCAGTGAGCTGAGATCGCACCACTGCACTCCAGCCTAGGAAACAGGAGTGAGACTCCATCTTAAAAAAAAAAAAAAAAAAAAAAAGCTTCTTTTCAAGAAAAAGCCATCCAGTGAATGGGTACCACTCACAAAATGAAGTTACTGTTTTTTTTTTTGTTTTTCGTTTTTTGAGACGGAGTCTCTCTCTGTCGCCGAGGCTGGAGTGCAGCGGCGCAATCTTAGCTCACTGCAAGCTCCGCCTCCCGGGTTCACGCCATTCTCCTGCCTCAGTCTCCCGAGTAGCTGGGACTACAGGCGCCTGCCACCACACCCGGCTAATTTTTTTTTTTTTTTTTTTTGTATTTTTAGTAGAGACGGGGTTTCACCATGTTAGCCAGGATGGTCTCGATCTGCTGACCTCGTGATCTGCCCGTCTCGGCCTCCCAAAGTGCTGGGATTACAGGCGTGAGCCACCACGCCCGGCCTTAATATTAAGCTTGTTTTGCTATAGAGTTGAAACTAATTTGTTTGCAGATTGGGCACAAACTCTCTCCCCCTGCAAAACCAAATTGTTCGGTAAGCCATGAGTTACCTCTTTCATCGACCTCAGGCTTATTTTGGCATATTCAATAGGCTGATTTAAGCCTTTGGAGCCACTTCTATAAGTAGTCTGTAAGAAATAACACACCTTAGCTGGGCGCGGTGGCTCATGCCTGTAATCCCAGCACTTTGAGAGGCTGAGGCAGGCGGATCATGAGGCCAGGCGTTTGAGACCAGCCTTACCAACATGAGGAAACCCCGTCTCTACTAAAAATACAAAAATTAGCCGGGCGTGATGGCACGTGCCTGTAATCCCAGCTACTCGGAATGCTGAGGCAGGAGAATCCCTTGAACCCGGGAGGTGGAATTTGAAGTGAGCCGAGATTACGCGCCACTGCACCCCAGTCTGGGGGACAGAGACAGACTCCGTCTCCAAAAAAAAAAAACCACACACACAAAAAAGAAATGAGTATCTTCCTTCTCCAATGCACCAAAGGGATACCAGTCACTATTCCTTTTCTTTCTACACTGAAGCTAAGAAATGCCTTTTTCAGTTAATCCACAAACAAATGATTAACATCCCTACTTTTTTTTTTTTTTTGAGATGGAGTTTCGCTCTTGTTGCCCAGGCTGGAGTACAGTGGCGTGATCTCGGCTCACTGCAACCTCTGCCTCCCCGGTTCAAGTGATTCTCCTGCCTCAGCCTCCTGAGTAGCTGGGATTACAGGCATGTGCCACCACGCCTGGGTAATTTTGTATTTTTAGTAGAGACGGGGTTTCTCCATGTTGGTCCGGCTTGTCTCAAACTCCCGACCTCAGGTGATCCACCTGCCTTGGCCTCCCAATAACATCCCTACTTTAGGCTACACCATATATAATGAGTTTAGTTGGTTAATGGCTACCCAAATTCAAGTAGTAAGCAAAGTACCTTTATGCCTTGAGAGGCATGAAAACAGCAGCCTCCAGGCTGAAATATATAACATGGATGGCTGCCACCCAACCAACGCAATCAAACCCTCCCCTTAACTGATCAGATGTGGATAGGACAGCAAAATACATCTCTAAGATTGGGTGCCCATTCCTCTCCTTGGGGATGGTTATGAGCATGTGAGTCTCACAGTTGACCATATCCACCTTACAGTTGGACTGGACAATACACTTGAGACTGTCCTTATCTCCCAGGTGTCCTTACACATCTAGATTCCCTCCCCACCAATTGGGAAACAGTGACAGCCCGTCATAGACAGAAAAAGTGGGCTTCTTGGTGATTTTATTCTATGGCTGTCTTCTCTCCTCAAGCAGTGGCTATAGATGTTGAATTACAAGTAGAAGCCCTGGCAAAACACACAGCTGCAGCTTTTATTTATTTATTTTTGAGAGGGAGTCTCGCTCTGTCACCCAGGTTGAAAAGCAGTGGTGCCATCTCGGCTCACTGCAAACTCCACCTCCCAGGTTAGCCTTAGCCTCCTGAGTCGCTGGAACAACAAGCGTGCGCCACCACACCTAGCCAATTTTTGTTTTTTTAGTAGAGACAGGTTTTCACCACGTTGGCCAGGCTGGTCTCTAACTCCTGAACTCAAGTGATCCACCTGCCTCAACCTCCCAAAGTGCTGGGATTATAGGTGTGAGCCACCAGGCTCAGCCCACTGTAGCTTTCAATAATACTCATCAGGGCCAGCAGCGGTGGCTCACGCCTGTAATCCCAGCACTTTGGGAGGCCGAGGTGGGCGGATCACGAGGTCAGGAGATCAAGACCATCCTGGCTAACATGGTGAAACCCCGTCTCTACTAAAAATACAAAAAATTAGCCAGGCATGGTGGCGGGCGCCTGTAGTCCCAGCTACTCGGGAGGCTGAGGCAGGAGAATGGTGTGAACCTGGGAGGCAGAGCTTGCAGTGGGCTGAGACCACACCACTGCACTCCAGCCTGGGGAACAGAGCGAGACTCCGTCTCAAAAAAAAAAAAATACTTACCAGGCTATCACCCTTCTGACAGAAGAGACTTACCAAATAAGACAAATGGCTCTACAAAACTGTATGGCTTTAGACATTTTAACTGCAGCCCAAGGGGGAATTTTTGCCCTGATCAAAACTGAATGTTGTATTTATATTCCTGAGTATTCCCATAATGTATCCCAGGCTATGAGTTCCTTGGAAACTCACATTACAGCATTAATTCTCTGTCTCAAGGCCCCATAATGGCCTGGTTTGTTAGCTATCCAGTACTTGGAAAGCATTTCTTTTCAGCATGCTTGGTATTGTAATACTCGTTATTATAAATTGCTGTGCTTTTTACTTCTGTTGCACTTGTGTAGGTTTGCAAGATAAAATAGCTCAGCAACTTCTTTGCCCATCTATTTACTCATTTCATATTTTACCTTTATAGGAACTATTGGGACATTGCTCAAGCAAGGAACCACCTGGCTCCCTGAGGAGGCTCACTGCATGCTTTCGTGAAAGGACCCTGTCCCAGCAATCGATGTCCACTATCAGCAGGAAGAAGTTACAGAAGAATGACCTTCACCCTCCTCTCCTCTTAAAATTAAGGGCTCTCTTAGCTGGGCATAGTGGCGCATGCTTGTAATCCCAGATACTTGGGAGGATGAGGCACGAGAATCACTTGAGCCCGGGAAGCAGAGGCTGCAGTGAGCCAAGATCGCACCACCACACTCTAGCCTGGGTGGCAGAGCGAGACCCTGTCTCAAAAAAACAAAACAAAACAAAAAGATTAAGGGTTCCCTCAAAATTAGTGGGGGTAATGTTAGGGAACCAGGAGCCTAGGAGGGCCAGAGTAGCACCATTTTAAGTTCAGCTCCATCTTGAGAAATAGTAAAGCCCATTCTCTGCTGGTCACGACCCACATTCATGGGCTGTTTACAGTGGAAGAAACAGCCTAAAGATACCTACAAGGACACACTCCTACTACAGCCAAGAGTCCAGATGTCCAATACCCATAACAATCTCTGTTTTCAAGATAATAATAGTTTTGCTTTGATGTATCCACACACTAGAATGTCAAGGCCAGTTTTCTTTAAATCAGTAGTCATACATTCTGTCATGCTGTCTGCTCACCCACACGTGGACACAGCTTAGCTTAGCCTTTATATAGACAAGATCTCTAGAGAAGAAAAACAAAAAACAAAGTCGAGGCGTTCCTCCTCTTGCTTTCTGAGGATGCCCTACTCTAACAGTGTAGTTTCTAATAACGTTGCTTCTTTCACTGCACTCTGTGACTCGTTTTGAAGTCCCTCCTGCTCGAGATCCAAGAACGTTCTCTTGGGGTCTGGATAGAGATCCCTTTTCCGGTAACACGATCATTGAAGGTATAGAGGTCCCGGACTGCTGGGAATATTTTATATTTCCTTTTGAAGACTCTCCATCCTGCCCTTATTTCTTAAAGCTGAGTTAATTCCATTGCACATAATTTATTTCTCCCTCCTGTATACATATCTTCCTTTTGTCCTCTTCTGTCGCTTTTAATACCGTGTGGAGGTGCAAAACCCCTTCTAGTAATGGCTGGGGAAAAAAAGTCATGTAAGTCCCAGGGTGAAATAAGACTTTCTAAAAAAAATACTTGAGTCTCAACCTCTAAAACCTTTCAAGTACCCCGATATTTCTTTTCATCTTGTCACAAATTTTTATATTCCTCTTCATCCTGTTAAAATCTCCCCTGTTTTTCTTAAATTACCACCTTTCAAGGTAAATAAAACGCTGCTGGTTCTCTTTTTATCAGTGTGCCATTTAATTTTCGGTTATTACAATAGAATGGTCTTAAATTTGTCTTTAAACTGAAAACATGCAACTCTCAAGTGATAACACGGCTTAGAGAACCTTTTGTTTGAGAGCCTGGAAACTAAGTGTCTCCATTACAATGTTTCCGACTCCCAAAATAACCAAGAGATGAGGTATCCTTGTGCCACCTTTATAAAACTCTTGGTTGTTACGTCTCATGCAGAGACACAATATTTGTTGATAGTTTAAATAATAATTATTATTAATATTAATAGAACATTTTCTATGTTCCAGGCCTTGCTTTAAGAAGTTTATAGGCATTGACTCATTTAATCCTCACCACAACCTATGAAGTAGGTACTTCTTGTTCTCTCATTTTTCAATTTTATTTTGTTTTGTACTTTTAGTAGAGATGGGGTGTCGCCATGTTGCCCAGGCTGGTCTCAAACTCTTGAGCTCAAGCAATACACCCACCTCGGCCTCCCAAAGTGCTGGGATTACAGGTGTGAGCCACCGTGCCCGGCCTTGTTCTCTCATCTTATAGACAAATTCACCGAAGCACAGAGAGGTTACGGCACTTAATCAAGCTCACAGAGCTAGTAAGTGGTGGAACAGATTGACTTTAGAGCCACTCTGTTCTGCCCTTTAACAGAATTCATTCTGTGACATATGGATTATTTTGAGTCTCATTAGGCATATTTTGAAACTACTCAGATTCATATTAAAACTCCATGAAGGTAGGACCGAAGTCTTATTCATTTTTGTTTCTCCCACAAATTTTTTTTTTTTTTTCTGAGATGGAGTCTCACTCTGTTGCCCAGGCTGGAGTGCAGTGGCGTGATCTCAGCTCACTGCAACCTCTGCCTCCCGGGTTCAAGCAATTCTCCTGCCTCAGCCTCCTGAGTAGCTGGGACTACAGGCACACACCACCACACAGGGCTAATTTTTGTTTTTCGTTTTTGTTTGTTTGAGACGGACTCTTGTTCTGTCACCCAGGCTGGAGTGCAGTGGTGCGATCTCAGCTCACTGTAAACTCTGCCTCCTGGGTTCAAGCGATTCTCCTGCCTCAGCCTCCCATGTAGCTGGGATTACAGGGGCATGCCACCACGCCCAGCTAATTTTTGTATTTTTAGTAGAGACAGGGTTTCACCATTTTGGCCAGCCTGGTCTTGAACTGCTGACCTCAAGTGATCCATCCACCTCGGCCTCCCAAAGTGCTGGGATTATAAGCGTGAGCCACCGCACCTGGACAATTTTTATATTTTTTCTAGTAGAGACGGAGTTTCATCATGTTGGCCAGGCTGGTTTCGAACTCCTGACCTCAAGTGATCCGCCTGCGTCGGCCTCCCAAAGTGCTGAGATTACAGGCATGAGACACCGCACCTGGCCCCCTAGCAGGTTCTTGATAGTTGCTGACAATGGAGCTAGCTGGGGATTCTTTCCTCCGATGGTCATTATGCATTATAGACAAGGTTCCTGTGTTCTCATTATGCCCCCAAGGAACATGCTTCAGCAAACGTGAAAAATGCCAGAGCCATACATTTTTTTTTTTTTTTTTTTGAGACAGGGTCTCCCTCTGTCACCCAGCCTGGAGTGCAGTGGCATGATCACAGCTCACTGCACATTCATCTGCCCAAGCCCAAGTGAGCCTCACACCTCAGCCCCCAAGTAGGTGGGATTACAGGTGCACTCCACCACACCCGGCTAATTTTTGTATTTTTTTGTAGAGTTGGGGTTTCGCTATGTTGCCCAGGCTAGCCTCAAACTCCTGGGCTCAAGCAATCCTCCCGCCTCGGCTTCCCAAACTGCTGAGATTATAGGCGTGCACCACCATGCCCAGCCCAGAGCCATACATGTTGGTTTAACCAAAAGAGCTGAAGGGTGGCTTGGAGCACTGGCATAAATGATGTCCCTTTAGCTGTCAGGGCTGACCGGGAGGGAAACAACCCTGCAACCCGTAATGGTCCTTGGCTTGATCAAAGAGCACCTTGTACTTGAGGTACCCTCTTTGTCCTGGTCCCATCCATTCACCAGCAGCCTTCACACATCTGTCCTAAAACCTTAGATTTTACCTATCTGTTGCTGCACATACAGCGGTGCCAGGGGACACTGTCGACCACGCCCGGTTAATTTTTTGTATTTTTAGTAGAGATGGGGTTTCATCATGTTGGCCAGGCTGTTCTCAAACTCCTGACCCCAGGTGATCCACCTCCTTCAGCCTCCCAAAGTGTTCGGATTACAGGCGTGAGACACCACGCCCGGGCTCAAATGTTCATCTCTTTCAGAAATACCCTCAGAGGAACACCCAGAGGAATGTTTGACTAACTGTCTGAACACATTGCAACCCAGTCAAGCTGACACATAGAATTAACCCTCACAGAACCAATAAGGAAGTGGAAGAAAGTGCTTCTTTTGCTACAGGATGAGGTGGGAGCAGGAATTGTGAGAGGCCCCCTGGCCACCATCTCCAGTGTATTGGGTTCAGCTCATTTCCTCCCCAGCACTGCTACTAATGTTCAAGGCATTATTTGTTGAAGCCAGGTGCCGTCTAAGCAGGCTGTCGAGGGAGAGCAATTTTTTTTTTGAGACAGGATCTCTTTCTGTTGCCCAGGCTGGAGTGCAGTGACATGATCTTGGCTCACCGCAGCCTCGACCTCCCAAGTAGCTGGAACCACAAGTGATCCTCAGGTAATCAGGTGATTCTTTCACCTCAGCCTCTTGAGTAGCTGGGACCACAAGTGTGTGCCACCACACCTGGCTAATTTTCTTTCTTTTTAATAGAGATAGGGTCACCCTATGTGGCCCAGGCTGGTCTCAAACTCCTGGGCTCAAGTGATCCTCTTGCCTTAGGATCCCGAAGTGCTGGACTACAGGCGTGAGCCACTGTGGCTGGCCTTTTTTTTTTTTTTTTTTTTTTTTAAGGAGAGCAATTTTGGTAACTAGAGACTGCTGGGAAAGAGAATGTGGGCGATCAGAGAGTGCAAGGGACATAGAAGGAAGTCTTTAGAACTTGGATGGGAGTCCAAGTTCTGCCACTTCCAGGCCTTTGTGCATTCAGCCAGTTACTTAAGCTGTTTGGCCTCAGTGTCCATATATTGCATTAACACCGGGAATAACAATTTTTACCTTACAAGATTGTTAAGGGAATTAAATGAGATCATGTGAATAAAGAGCCTGCCATAGAGTTGCACTCAATAAACACTATTTTACTTCCCCCTGAATTCCCTACCTGTACTTTTGGCACATGAAAAAATAATTAGGTAGAAATAGGCTGGAGTCCAGCAGGGGAAGACAAACTAATCTTTCCTGGACTACATTTTTACATGGATAAAAATTTTTGCCACTGCAACTCTAAGCAGCACTCAGTATCTTTGAGATATTAGTGATGTTTTTCTCTGATGTTCTTTTAGCTCCTGGGGTCACTGTGGGCTAAGAGAGGTGGAGACAGGCTTTGTGCAACGCTGCCTTGTCCCCCTGCTCAGAGGCAGATGTGACTTAATAGGAAGAATCCTAGAGGCCTTCAGATGCTGTAGAGAAGATTCATGTTTGATGAGAGAGAGCCTGGATGACATGAAAGTTGTTGTTTTTTTCCAGAGAAAAGGAAAGAGACATAACATTCCCCCTACCCGCCCAAGCATCAGCTTCCTCTTCTGAACTGGTTGCTGTGGAGATTAAAAACTTTGTACACAGCACATTGCACACAGGCGATACGCGGTTGTTAGAATCTCATTACCATTGACAATGGCTAATTATAGATGTGAACATCTAAATGTGTCTGAAGGGGACAGAGAAGTTTGGTAAGGATAACTTACAATCTTTCCATCTTTTGTTTTGTTTTGTTTTGTTTTGTTGTGTTTTAGAGAGGGTCTTGCAATGTCGCCCAGGCTGGAGTGCAGTGGCATGATCTTGGCTCACTGCAGCCTCCACCTCCCGGGTTCAAATAATTTTCAAATCTCTGCCTCCAAAGTAGCTGGGATTACAGGCACATGACACCACGCCCAGCTCATTTTTGTATTTTTAGTAGAGATGGGGTTTCACCATGTTGGCCAGGCTGGTCTTGACCTCCTGATGTCACGTGGTCTGCCCACCCTGTCCTCCCAAAGTGCTGGGATTACAGGCGTGAGCCACTTCGCCCAGCCTTTTTTTGTTTCGTTTTGTTTCTTAGAGACAGCATCTTGCTCTGTCCTTCAAGCTAAAGTGCAGTGGCTTGAACATGGCTACTGCAGCATCAACCTCCTGGGCTCAGGTGATCCTCCTGCCTCAGCCTCCTGAGTAGCTGGGATGACAGGTGTGCACCACCATGCTCAGCTAGTTCTTACAATTTTTGTAGAGACCAGGTTTCATTATGTTGCCCAGGCTGGAATTTTCGTATTTTTTGTCACAAAGCCTCGCTATGTTGCCCAGGCTGGTTTCAAACTCCTGGCTTCAAACAGTCCTCACACCTTAGCCTCCCTAAGGATCTTGTGCTGAGATTACAGGCATGATCCTCCATCTTTTTATATTGTGTAATTATAATGCAGAGTAGTTTGAGCTTGGTGATGAGAAAGCTTTCTTTTCGCCTTCCTGCCACTCATTGTTTGTATACTTTATTTTCAAAGGCCATTAACATGTCGACAGCCACTGAGCTGCTGTTTTTGTTTTATTGTTCCCTTGACCACACACCAACCAACCATGACTCCCAATTAATATTCTTAATGGAATCCAAGCCTCTAAGCCTCACAGTCCAGGCCCTCCACCAGCCTGCCTCACCCTATCCTCATTTCATCTCCCGCAACCTGGCTCCGGTGAGTGCTCTTCGTAGTCAGACTGGGCTGTTTATTTTCTGCAATGAACTTGTAAATCCCTGCCTTTGGCTCGTGCTTGAAATAGCTTCCTCTTTCTCATTACCGAGTCTACGTCCTGTGTTTAAGTGCAGCTCTGGAACCAGACGACATGTGTGTCATCCCAACTCTACTGCCAGCTATTTATGAGCCCTCAGGCAAGTTACTGAACCTTCCTGTGACTTCACTTCTTTACCTCTAAAACAGAGGTCATAATAGTATACCTACATCCTATGCTTATTTTGAAGCTTAAAGAGGTAATTTAGGGGCTGGGCGCGTGTAATCCCAGCACTTTGTGGGACTGAGGCGGGTGGATCACCTGAGGTCAGGAGTTCGAGATCAGCCTGGCCAACATGGCAAAACCCCGTCTCTACTAAAAATACAAAAATTAGCCAGGTGTGGTGGCAGGTGCCTGTAATCCCAGCTACTCGGGAAGCTGGGACAGGAGAATCACGTGAACCCGGGAGGCGAAGGTTGCAGTGAGCCAAGATCACGCCACTGCACTCCAGCCTTGGTGACAGAGGGAGACTCCATCTCAAAACAAAACCAAAGAAAACAAACAAACAAAAAAAAAACAAGTGTTGATAAGAATGTGGAGAAATTGGAACCTTCATAAATTGCTGGTGAGAATGTAAAATTGTGCAGTCACTTTGGAAGACAGTCTGGCAATTCCTAAATAATTTGAGCATAGAGTTACTATATCACCCAGCACTTCCATTCCTAGGTATATACCCAAGTGAATTGAAAGCATATGTCTCCACATAAATGTGTACATTAATGTTTATAGTGGCATTATTCATAATAGCCAGAAAGTGGAAACCACCTTAATGTTTATCACAGATGAATGGAGAAACACAATATAGTACTGAATATTCACATAATGGAATATTATTTAGCCACAAAAGGAATGTAGTACAATTGTCCTTCAGTATCCACAGGGGATTCGTTTCAGGACCCCTGAGGATATCAAAATCCATGGATGCTTGAGTTCCTTATATAAAATGATGTAGTATTTGCATAATTACTTTAAATCATCTGTAGATTATAATGTTGAATATGATGTAAATAGTTTTTTTTTTTTTTTTTTTGAGATGGAGTCTCGCTCTTTTGCCCAGGCTGGAGTGCAATGGCACCATCTCAGTTGACTGCAACCTCCGCCTCCCAGGTTCAAGCGATTCTCCTGCCTCAGCCTCCTGAGTAGCCGGGATTATAGGCATGGACCACCATGCCCAGCTAATTTTTATATTTTTAGTAGAGATGGGTTTCTTTTTTTTTTTTTTTTTTTTTTTTGAGACGGAGTCTCGCTGTCTCCCAGGCTGGAGTTCAGTGGCGCAATCTCGGCTCACTGCAAGCTCTGCCTCCCGGGTTCTAGCCATTCTCCTGCCTCAGCCTCCCAGGTAGCTGGGGCTACAGGGGCCCACCACCACGCCTGGCTAAGTTTTTGTATTTTTAGTAGAGACAGGGTTTCACCATGTTAGCCAGGATGGTCTCGATCTCCTGACCTTGTGATCTGCCCACCTTGGCCTCCCAAAGTGCTGGGATTACAGGCGTGAGCCACCGCGCCCAGCCCTGTGACGGGGTTTCACCATGTTGGTCAGGCTGGTCCTGAACTCCTGACCTTGTGATCCGCCTGCCTCAGCCTCCCAAAGTGCTGGGATTACAGGCATGAGCCACCACGCCCGACCAATAGTTGTATTTTTTTTGGAGACGGAGTCTCGCTTTGTCACCTAGGCTGGAGTGCAGTGGCGTGCAATTGGCTCATGCCAACCTCTGCCTCAGCCTCCCAAGTAGCTGGGATTACAGGCGCCCACCACCATGCCGGGCTAATGTTTTGTATTTTAGTAGAGACGGGGTTTCACCGTGTTGCCCAGGCTGGAGATAGTTGTTATATTTTTAGGAAATAATGACAAGAAAAAAAAGTCTATACATGCTGTTCAGTACAGATACAAATTTTTTTCCCCAATTTTTTCAATCTGCGGTTGGTTGAATCTACGGATGTGAAACCTACAGATACAGAGGTCTGACTGTACTTATTCATTCTACAACATGAATGAAGAAAACATTATGCTCAATGAAAGAGTCAGTCACAAAGGACTGCATATGATTCCACTCACAGGCATCCCTCCTTTTACTGTGCTTGGCTTTATTGTGCCTCACAGATATTGTGAATTTTACAAATTGAACGTTTGTGGTACCCCTGTGTCGGGCTAGTCTATTGGTGCCATTTTTTTTTCAAACAGAGTGTGCTTACTTCGTGTTTCTGTGTCACATTTTGGTAATCCTCACAGTATTTAAATTTTTTTCATTAATATTAAAAGTAATGGCCAAAACAACAATTACTTTTGCACCAACCTAATATGATTATCTGTTCTGGTGATCTGTGATCATAGATCTTTGATGTTTCTATTGTAATTGTTTTGGAGCACCCATGAAAGATGGTGAACTTAATGGATAAATGTGTGTGTTCTTTTCCTTTTCTTTTTTTTTTTTGAGACAGAATCTCTCTCCGTAGCGAAGTACAATGGCATGATCTCAGCTTACTGCAACCTCCACCTCCCAAGTTCAAGCAATTCTCCTGCCTCAGCCCCCTGAGTAGCTGGGATTACAGGCACGTACCACCACACCCAGCTAATTTATGTATTTTTAGTAGAGGTGGGGTTTTGCCATATTGGCCAGGTTGGTCTCGAACTCCTGGCCTCAAGTGATCCACCTGCCTCCCAAAGTGCTGGGATTACAGGCATGAGCCACTGCACTCAGCCCTGCTGTCAGAGGCCTTTGTACCAGAGCAACTCCATCTCGAATAGGGGCTGGTTAACCTGAGGCTGAAACCTGCTGGGCTACATTTCCAGTAAGTTAAGGTATTCTTAGTCACAGAATGAGATAGGAGGTCGCTGTAAAGACTTTGCTGATCAAACAGGTTGCAGTAAGGAAGCCAACCAAAACCCACCAAAACCAAGATGGCAACGAGAGTGATCTCCAGTCGTCCTCACTGCTACACTCCCACCAGTGCCATGACAGTTTACAAATGCTGTGGCAACATCAGGAAGTTACCCTATATAGTCTCAAAGGGGAGGCATAAATAATCCACCCGTTGTTTAGCATATATCATCAAGAAATAACCATAAAAAATGGGCAACAAGCAACCCTTGGGGCTGCTCTGTCTTTGGAGTAGCCATTCTTTTATTTCTTTACTTTCTTAAACTTGCTTTCACTTTATGGACTTGCCCTGATTTCTTTCTTGCGTGAGATCCAAGAACCCTCTCTTGGGATCTGAATCGTGATCCCTTTCCAGTAACACTAAGAGGGTTTTGAGTGGAAGATTGAAATGACCTGACCTTTTTTTTTTTTTTTAAAGAATCACTCTGGCTTTTCTGTTGAGAAGAGACCAAAGGAAGCAAGGAGGGATAAGGAGGTTAGTTCAAAGACCTTTGCAATGAAAGAGTTAAGGACGTGCCACCCCCAAATATGCCAGTTTGGCATACTGATTATTTCAAGCTGAAGGTACTTGAGAGACTGTCATTGCAGGAAGAGCTAGCTCACTGTTTCACAGTGGACAGGGTCTATGCAAACCTGCGGCCAAGGAAGCTGAGAGGTGGAAGAAAGAGGCTGACACATCCAGTTTCTTAGGAAGAAACGTTTACTAGGGACTTAGAACAGAAGCCATGTCTGTATCTCAGGAAGCAGTGAGACAAGATGGTGGATCCCCGCACCATTACCCCTCAAACCCAGGGCTTATATACCCCAGGAGAGGAGTGATTCAGAAGGGACGTGGAGAACAACTTAAGTATGATAACATCAAGGCCACTTGACCTAAGGGCAGGATTTACAGTCAGTACGTGCTCTTACACAAGGAACAATAGATAAACTGGAAGTCTTACAAGACTTCCTGGAACTGGCGTTAATCAGAAACCAGCATGGATTAGCATCCAGGATGGAGTTGCTTTGCCCTCCCCACTGACGTGTCCATTCCTACCTTTAGGAAGCCATAAAAATTCCTTTGAGAAAGATGCCTTCCCTTTTTTTTTTTTTCTTTTTTGAGACGGAG
Source organism: Homo sapiens (assembly GCF_000001405.40). Classification (NCBI taxonomy): domain Eukaryota; kingdom Metazoa; phylum Chordata; class Mammalia; order Primates; family Hominidae; genus Homo; species Homo sapiens. The sequence continues at coordinate 31,651,337 of NC_000012.12, forward strand.
TCTTGCTCTGTCGTCCAGGCTGGAGTGCAGTGGCGCAATCTCGGCTCACTGCAACCTCCACCTCCCGGGTTGCAGTGAGGCAACCCGGGTTCAAGCAATTCTCTAGCCTCAGCCTCCCGAATAGCAGGGATTACAGGTGCGTGCCACCACGCATGGCTAATTTTTGTATTTTTAGTAGAGACGGGGTTTTACCACGTTGGCCAGGCTGGTCTGGAACTCCTGACCTCAGGTGTGATCTAGCCGCCTCCGCCTCCCAAAGTGCTGAGATTACAGACATGGGCCACCGCGCCCGGCCGATGCCTTCCTTTAGTAGAAAGAGAAAATAACCCTTATCTCCAGAGACTGGGAATTGATGCTACAATGGACCTATACAGATAAACTTACTAAACGAACACTTACCTTTCACTAGCTTTGCACTTCACTGATACAGGAGTTTAGAAGAAATCACTTAGGCAGATAGTAGGAGTATGGGAATCCTCAGTAAGGCTTTTCTTTTTCATGAAAAGCAGCCCCAAATCATTTTCTAACAAAGAGCATTCTGTAAAGCCGAGCTGCAGACACAGACAAGCAAGCTGGGAGCTTGCACGAGTGAACGCAGGGAGGAACTTCGGAGTACACATGTTCAAATTGGAGGCTCCATCTTCCCTTCCCTTTGTCAGCCACGTGTACTGTAAGGAGCAGACAAGATGGTGTTGATCAACTAGAAAGTCTATTTCCATAATAAGATTAGGGTGGGGTAACCAGGCTTCCCCTGCGCACAGTGTAAACGTCATACCTGATCAAACCAATCTATGAGCCCTATGTAAATCAGACACCGTCTCCTCAGACCTGACTATAAACTTCGGCGCATCCACTGCCGGCTGGTCCTTTCCACTCGCAGATCCATTTCTCTATAGAGAAAGCTGTTTCTCTTTCCCTTCTCTTCTGCCTATTAAACCTCTGCTCCTACACTCCTTGTGTGTGTCAGTGTCCTAAATTTTCCTGGCGCCTGACGACAAACCCCGGGTTTATACCGCAGACAGTGGTATGGTCCCTTCATCACCATATATCTCCTAGTGATTCCCCCGCAATTTACTGCCCCTAGTCCAAATCCCTTTGTCTTATCATTTCTTCATAAATTTATCATTTCTTTGTCCAAAAGGTATAAAAGCTTTCTGTTCTGGCCATTTTCTTCAGGTCGTCGCCCCTTTCATCTTGTGAGAGTCTTCATGTGCAAGTAAAAATTAGTAACACTTGTATGCTTTTCTGTTAATCTGGTTTATGTCCATTTAATTCTTAGACTTAGCTTTAGACGATCCCAAGGGAGTAGAGGAGAATTTATCCTCCCATCAGCAATAATCCAGGCTAGAGATGATGGTGATTTATATTAGAGGAAAGCAATGCAGGTGGTGAAAAGTGGTCAGATTCTGCATAGACAGTGTTTTGGATTTGCTAGTGGGTTAGTTGTGGAGTGTGCACGTGTGTGTGAGAGAAAGATTGAGAGAGAATGTGTTATAGATTATACCAAATCTTTCTTAAGCTTTAAGCCTGAACTATTTATGACCAATGATAAGTATTTCCATCATATCTTACAACTAAAGAAATGTGCCAGGCCGGTCGCGGTGGCTCATGCCTGTAATCCCAGCACTTTGGGAGGCCGAGGCCGGCGGATTGCCTGAGCTCAGGAGTTCGGAACCAGCCTGGGCAACACGGTGAAATCTCGTCTGTACTAAAATACAAAAAATCAGCCGGCCTTGGCGGCATGCGCCTGTAGTCCCAGCTACTCAGGAGCCTGAGGCAGGAGAATCGCTTGAACCCAGGAGGCAGAGGTTGCAGTGAGCTGAGATCGTGCCACTGCACTCCAGCCTGGGCTATGCAGCGAGACTCCGTCTCAAAAAAAAAAAAAAAAAAGGTACCAGTGTGTAGTAACATTGTGGGTGAGAATCTTTGCTCTTTATACATAACTGTTTAAGTTTCAGTTTTGTTTTTGCTTTTACTGTTTTAGCTGAAGCACACTTGGCCGATGTTAAGCTAAATTATCAGTAGATGGCACCACAGTCTTAGTTAGCTGAAGATTTCTGGGTTTTGCAGGGAGTGAGGATTCTAGTGTCAGTTGTCGGATGTTTAGGTGTGACTCAGTGACCTATGCTTAAAAGTTTGCCCGGTTACTAACTGAGGGAGCAACAAGTACAAACTGCAGATAGGGAATTGAAAAAAGGAAACACACAAATTTACACAGACACGGTGCCCATAGATTTGTTGCAAGGGCAGTTTGGTAGAGAGAAGCTAGAAGGAAGCTGAAGCTCCAGAAAACCCAAAACTACAAACTTCCTTCAAAAGTCTAGGGAGAGGCCGGGTGCGGTGGCTCAGGCCTGTAATCCCAGCACTTTGGGAGGCCGAAGTGGGTGGATCACTTGAGGCCAGAAGTTTGAGACCAGCCTGGCCAACATGGCGAAACCTGTCTCTACTGAAAATACAAAAAATTAGCTGGGTGTGGTGGCGGGTGCCTGTAATCCCAGCTATTGGGGAGGCTGAGGTGGGAGAATCACTTGAACCTGGGAGGCAGAGGTTGCAGTGAGCTGAGATAGCGCTACTGCACTCCATCCTGGGTGACAGAGTGAAACTCTGTCTCAAAAAAAATAAAGAAGACAAATAATAGCAAGTGTTGGCTAGGATGTGGAGCAATTGGAGATCTCATACAATGATGGTGGAAATGTAAAATGACACAACTATTTTGTTTTATTTTATTTCTGAGACAGAGCCTCACCCTGTCGTCCAGGCTGGAGTGTGGTTGCACGATCTCAGCTCACTGCAACCTCCACCTCCCGGGTTCAAGTGATTCTTCTGTCTCAGCCTCCTGAGTAACTGGGATTACAGGCACACGCCACCATGTCCGACTAATTTTTGTATTTTTAGTAGAGACACGGTTTCACCATGTTGGCCAGGCTGTTCTTGAACTCCTGACCTCAGGTGATCCTCCCACCTTGGCCTCCCAAAGTGCTGGGATTACAGGCATGAGCCATGGTGCCCAGCAGGCACAACCATTTTAGAAAAAGTTTGCAGTTAATCATACACCTACCATATGATCTAGCCATTGCACTCCTAGGTATTTATGCAAAGGAAAGAAAGCCTAAGTCTGTACAAAGACTTGTACACAAATGTTCAAAACAGCTTTATTTGTAATAGTAAAAGAAAGAAAGAACTCAAATGTTCATCAACATGTAAATGGATAAACATGGGAGCTTATCTATATGTACAATGAAACACTACTTAGCAATATAAAGGAATGAATTATTGATGCAGGAAACATGGATGAATAAAAATAATTACTAATGAAAGAAATAAGACAAAAACCGTATAAACTCTATACAATTGCATGCATATGAAAATCTAGAAAAAGCAAAGTAATCTGTAGCGACAGAAAGCCAAGAATGGTTGTGGTAGAAGGGAGAAGGACTGGACGGGTGCCGTGGCTCATGCCTGTAAACCCAGCACTTCGGGAGGCTGAGGTGGGCAGATCACTTGAGGTCAGGAATTAGAGACCAGCCTGGCTAACATGGTGAAACGCTGTCTCTACTAAAAATATAAAAATTAGCCAGGTGTGGTGGTTCACGCCTGTAATCCCAGGTACTCGGGAGGCTGAGGCATGAGAATTGCTTGAACCCGGGAGGAGAAGGTTGCAGTGAGCCAAGATCGCGCCACTGCACTCCAGCCTGGGCGACAGAGTGAGACTCTGTCTCATGAAACAAACAAACAAACAAAAAAACAGAACAAAAAGATAAAAAAAAAAAAGTAGGGGAAGAACTGGAGGGAGGAATTACACAGGAGCACTGAATATATTCACTATCTTGATTTTGGTGATGGTTTCATGAGTATATACTGTAAAGGAACATAAAAACTCTCAAAACCCCCAAACTCATTATGCCAAAGGGAAAATTAAGCCTGCTTACTTCACAACCTTGTGTCAAAGCGCTATACATTAGCCAGATCCCTACAAAAGGAAAAGGTCTCAGGCATTTCCAGATAACTGCCCTCACAAATCGCGCCTAAGAAAATTCTTTCCTGGCTCCTAAACCTTTCAAGGTGTATAATAAATCCTCCCATAAACAAGGACATGTCAACTGTCACTTTAAGTCTGTGACTTAAGTCTAACTCCTTGTCCAGGAACCTAAAGTCTGGTAAATTTCACACCGACTGTGTCAATTATAAGCCTTATCTTCCCAAGTGCAAAAACAAAGATGACATCCATTATTCTTCTACCTATCCTGAGAAGTCTGAATAATGAATTCTTCCTTTACTCCCTATTTTCGAATGTTTGCCTTATCTCATGTATAGCATAGATGTACTGGGCACTAATTAAAATCTCACAAGAATGTCATCATTTGCTTCACGCCTATCTCCCTTTTCCTGCATGTCTTTTCTCTTAAAGCAATGTGTAAATACCGAGTCTCCTGAAGCCTTTCCCAAGGAGCACGGGCCACAGACTCATGTTTCTGTGACTCAGGGTTTTCCTGGGCACACCTTTAAGCTCTGGCTCAATAAACCTGGATTGATTGAGATTCTTGCCTCAGTCTCTCATTTGGGTTGACAATACATATGTCAGGACATTAGACTGTACTCTGTAAACATGCAAAGTTGCCAATGTGAAGTCAAATATACCTCAATAAAGCTGTTAAAAGTAAATTTTTTAAATGAGATACTGATATGTAATGTTTGTTATTTTACTCATGTATTTATTTGCCTTTTCTTTCATTTAACAGAGTTTATTGAGTGTCTGTGCCAGAGGCTAAAAGAGGTATGACATGGTCTGCTTTCAAGTCTAGGCAGTGACGGTTCTGCTTGATATGCTTGTTGTACATGCCCATAGGAAGCTAAGAAAATAGGAAGATTAGCGTGTAGGCTGGCATGTTGGGGAAGGCTTTTCAGAGGACCTTAACGTTGAACTGAGTTCTGAAGGACGAGTAGGTGGTTTGGACAGTGAGGAGCGGTTAGCAGTGGCAGCTTTCTGTCTTCAACAAGGCCTAGGGATGAGAGAACAAGGCGCTGTGGGAGGAAAACAAATTGCAGCAGAGAGGGGAGAAGAGGAGTGTTTTGAAAAGAGGCAGGATAGGTTAAGTCGGGACTGATCAGCATGGGCCAGGAAAGCTGTGGTCAGGAATCCGGCTGTACCATTGAAGGTCTGGGGAGCTAGAGCAGGTTTTAAGCAAGGGAGAACACAGATAGCCTGCTGATGAACAGCACAGGCCAATCGAGTGGAGCAAGAGAAACCATCTTGCCCTTAGATTGGCTAGCATTACGGTTAAACGAGTGTATTTAATTAGTCTCCAAGTCCTGCTAATAGCTCATCCTTAATCATTTTCAAATGTTCCAATTCTTTCCATCCCTATCGCAGTTACCTTAGTTCTGTCTCCATTATTGTTTGCTTGGATTACCATAATATCCTCCAATGGCGGTTTCCTTGTCTTCAGTCTTGCCCCGCCTTTAACTCTTTGCTACCTGCAGCATAAAACATTTTTCTAAAATTCAAGTTTGATCCTCTCACCTTTAACTGAAAACCTGATCTGCTGCTCATCAACACTATCTCTGTGTTTCTAATAATGATCATCACTGTAATAGCATACTTAGCAAGCATTTACTACATGCCAGGAACTGGGCTAAACAAGATGTGCTTTTATCTTATTAAATCTTCCTAAAACATTATTACTATCATCACTATTTTACAGATGAAGAAACTGATTATTAAGAAGGTTTAGCAATGTGTCCAAGATCATACAGTTAATAAGTGTAATTGAATAACTTGTTGAAAAACCAAAAAACCCTTAAAGACAAAGTTGTGTAGGGAATAGAATTTTTTACTTGCACCTGCAAGAGGGACCGATTATTAGAGAACTGGCTTTGTAAACAAAAATGTAGGGCAGGTATTTAAAGTAAAAAAATCACAAGGATAGACAACAGCTCAAATTGTTATCAGTTCACAAGTCTGCTTGGATGTATGTGGGTCAATTTTGTTAAAATCTAGACGGTCCTTTCTATTAAGACATTACAATGCATCAACACCAAACAACAGAAAAGAAAATCCATATATCCCTGTTTTTCATGCTTTGTCTGGGACTAAAGGAAGGGCAGGCCTTTTCTAGACTATGGAATCTAAGTTTCAGAAAAAAATCATTTAAGCTGCAATATAAAGAATAATCTTGGCCGGTCGCAGTGGCTCACACCTGTAATCCCAACACTTTGGGAGGCCGAGGTGGGCGGATCACGAGGTCAAAAGTTGGGCACCAGCCTGACCAACATGGTGAAACCCCGTCTCTACTAAAAACACAAAAATTAGCTGGGTGTGGTGGTGTGCGCCTATAATCCCAGCTACTGGGGAAGCTGAGGCAGGAGAATGGCTTGAACCCAGGAGGCAGAGGTTACAATGAGCCGAGATCATGCCACTGCACTCCAGCCTGGGCGACAGAGCAAGACTTCATCTCAAAAAAAAAAAAAAAAAAAAAAGAATAGTTTTAAGGAAGGCAGAATTAGAGATAGACAAGTTATAGGAACCCAGGCAAGCCATTATAATGCCAAACTAAGGCAATGGCAGGAGGGATAGAAAGAACTGGACCAGTTTTAAATCCATTATGGGACAGGAAAGGCATGTTGCAGTCCCTTCAGCCAAGTTGCAAGTTTTGAATGAGTTATCCAAACATTATTAAATGCATCTTCAGTGATGACTACCAAGCTTTTTTCCAGGAACCAACCCTCTTTTGTAAAAATGTTAGGTTAGCCTGTTCGTTCTGGTTTCTTGGGCAGTGACTGGGATGTTCAAACTATTAATTGGGATAGAACACCGAAGCTGGTTAAAAACAATATTTCTTATAGAAATTGATCTTGAACATGGATCAAGGTTCACTGCTAGCAGGAGAATCGGAGAGTGTGTGGTAATGAAAAGTTATAGTTGAGAAAACAAGCGTTTACATCAGCAACTAATTAAGAAAAAAGCAGCTCATAAGTGGATGAATGCAGTTCATAAACACATTATATCAGTTATTACACAGGAAATCTAAGGCAGAATACTGTGAAATGCAAGGTGTATAGCTTATCAACAAGAATGTAGCAAATACACCATTCAACTAAGAAAGAAATGATAAGGCTGCATCTGGGGCTGTTGACTGGAAGCACAAAGTTTCCTTTCCTTGTAGTAGTTCCTAAAGATTCCAGTTTACATGGAAAGACAGAAAGCTGTCACACCCATGGCAGGAGCGCAGAACCCAAGCGACAAATTCTAATTTTGAACAGGCAGGTGCCAGTGCATTTCTCAAACTGCAAACTAAAATGCAGAAACACGATTTTCCTGTTTCTTAGTTTTGGACCGTTTTCCCCCCTCTAGCACGCCAGAGCAGGTTTTAATTGTTGTCAGGTCAGATGGTGAGTTAACTTTGAGTGTTGAGTTGAGGGGCCAGTGGGATGTGGGTCCAGTTGAAAGGTGGATATATGTAGATCCAGACTCGAGTGATATAGGCTGCAAATAAATTGCTAGTGAATTTATGAATTATTAGAAAAGAAAGGACATTCATTATGATTTAATCGCAGTTGAATGTAGGCAGCACAGAGGGCTTATACTGTGTCTTTTTTTTTTTTTTTTTTTAAATATACGGTGTCTATTTTGCTCACCACTCTATGCCCGGTGCCTGGAAGTGCGACTGGCACATAGTAGGTGTTGCATAGTTTCAGAATGAACTTTTTAGGAATCAAAATTCTACAAACATTGCACACAGATTTAACGTTCCCTTATTTTCCAGGTGAGGTCAGGGCGCCCTTTGGTTTCGCGCTTCTGTCCCTTTAAGAAAGTGGAGGAGAAAGAAAGCGCTGCTGGGAAAAAGGGCGGGGCCGCGAGGGGCCGCCGTCCGTCCCGCCCCCTGCCGGGCCGCGGCGCTCTGCTAGAGCGTGGCTCAGTTTTGGTAGCGGGACCCCGGAAATGTAAAGCATGAGCGGGAACAGTCGCCAGGGCGAGTGACAGGCGAGCCCTATGCTTTACTTCCGAGGGCGGTGTCAGCAAAGCTAGGTAAGGAGACAGGGAGGACGGTGCCTGCCCCTTTAAGATCGACTCCACCCCGCCTCTGGAGGAAAATGACGCCGCCGTCTACCCGTTGTGGAACGTAACTCTTTTCATCCCATCAGCTCTCCTTCTCATTAAGAGAAATACCAAGTGGTCACCACAGTCACATACTTCATAACCCATGCCTCATCGGTGCTGGGACGGGAGAGGGAAGCGCCGATCTAAATGACATGGGGTCCAAATCCCAAATAATCTCTATTTGCTCTGCGTTACCTTTAAACTTAGGCTGCGTTGTGTGATTCAAGTGACAGCCTAGTACTGCTTAACAATTAGTCTAGTGGGATACCAGGCCCTGAGAGACCCCTACGATCCCAGGACACTGATGTGGGGTAACTAACACCCACTGGAAGTCTACGCTGAGTTCACAGGCTATGTATGACCTGACATGCATTTTGACCTGCCCTGTGTTTTGATATTTGAATGAGTTGCTGATGTTTACAAGCCGAAGCTGGCCGGGCGTGGTGGCTCGCGCCTGTAATCCCAGCACTTTGGGAGGTCGAGGCAGGAGGATCGCTTCAGGTCAGGAGTTCCAGACCAGTCTGGCCAACATGGCGAAACCTCGTCTCTACTAAAAAAAAAAAAAAAAAAAAAAATACAAAAATTAGCCGGGCGTGGTGGCACGCCCCTGTAATCCCAGGACTCGGGAGGCTGAGGTAGGAGAATCGCTTGAACCTGGGAGTCGGAGGTTGCAGTGAGCCGAGATCACGCCACTGCACTCCAGCCTGGGCAACAGAGACTCTGTCTCAAAAAAAAAAAAAAAAAAAAAAAAAAAGGTGGAAGCTAATGTGTCAATATCTAGATTTTTTTGATGATTTTGAGAAATCGGAGGATCTGGCAGCATGTCCTGCCTAGCCTTTTTGAACTGTTTGAAAACAGTCTCCAGCTTGCCACAGCCCCTCTGTTATTTTACAGCCAGCCTGCATCACTCATTTATGATGTCCAGCCCCTTGTGGGGATTTGGATTTTTGACCCCTAAATACTTTAGTGGATTTAAGACCATTTAAAACATTTATGCAGAAGAGATCCGAGGTCCCCAAACAACTGGGTGTATAAGTTGTGTTTAAGTTGTTCCTCATTCTCATTTATTCTAATCCGGGTGTTTTTCTATATATATATATTTTTAAACAAATCTTAGTGATCAATTGCACAGGTGTTTTTCTGTTGGAGCAAATCTTTTCAGTTTAGGCTTGGTAAAATCGAACCATCAGATACTTTTACAGAAAGAGATTTAGGAGTTGATGTTCTTTTATTACAATTAAATGCATACAGTATTTTTAAAGGAAAAAACCTGAATCTTGATTGCATTGTTTTATGATACAACAATCTTTAATGAAATAGAGTAGTCAATATAATTTGTATTAATATATCTCTGCCCACAGACAATTATAAATTCATTAACCCCCAGAACTCTTGGCTAGACTTCATAAAGGCAAAAACTGTGTTTGCCCTGTTAACTGCTTTATCCCACCACTAGAATATAAGCTTCCTGAAGACAGAAGACTTCTGTTATTTTGTTCACAGTTACCAAGCATGCCTACTTTGTTAAATTTATGAAAGAACTTTAAAGGTACAGTTGGCCCACAATATAACAATATAGCAATATAAAATTACAACAATAAAAATAACACAAAAATAGTGTAACAACTACTTATATAGCATTTACGTTGTATTAAGTATTATGAGTCATCCAGAGATGATTTAAAGTAAAGTATACCACAGCATATGCCTAGTTTATATACAAATATGATGCCATTTTATATAAGGGACTTGAGTATCCTCTGATTGTGGTATCCTGGAAGCAGGGGATACCGGAACCAATCACTTGAGGATACTGAAGGATGACTGTATGGCTGATTTCCTGTAAGAGGCATTTTCTTGAGGATTCTTTCAAAATCAAATGCTTGTATATTTGTTGTGTTAAATTACTAAAAGGATTCTCTTGTGAAAAGTATCATTTAAAAAGATTGGATTTTCCCAATTGATGCACCAAAGCTTTCATCTGAAATGAACTTGCACATGTGAATCATCAGATACAGTAATATACACTGTAATATTTTATTTCTTTTTTTTTTTTATGAGACGGAGTTTTGCTCTTGTTGCCCAGGCTGGAATGCAATGGTGCGATCTCGGCACACTGCAACCTCCGCCTCCCGGGTTCAAGCAATTCTCAAGTAGTGAGATTACAGGTACCCGCCACCACGCCTGGCTAATTTTTTGTATTTTTAGTAGAGACAGGGTTTCACCATGATGGCCACACTGGTCTTGAACACCTGACCTCGTGATCCACCCGCCTTGGCCTCCCAAAGTGCAGGGATTACAGGCGTGAGCCACCGCGCCCGGCCAATATTTTCTTATTATGTAATAGGATCTAGAAATGTTGCTCTTCCTCAGAATTCTCAGTATTACTTTTCTTTTTTTTTTCAGAGTCAGAGGTTCCGGTTGAGATCAAGTTGGGAGACACACCCTTGTTCATTCTCCTTGAGAAGCAGCTATTATCAACAGAACATTGACAGAACCTGTGTTTGGGGAAAGGACTGATGGCTTTGAGTCTAGGTTGGAAAGCACACAGGAACCACTGTGGTCTCCTCTTGCAGGCTCTGCGAAGCAGTGGTCTTCTCTTGTTTCCCTGTGGCCAGTGTCCCTGGAGAGGAGCTGGAAGCTTTTTGGACCCTGAGATAAAGGCTTTCCTGGAGGAGAACACTGAAGTCACCAGCAGTGGTAGCCTCACCCCTGAAATCCAGTTGCGGCTTTTGACCCCCAGATGCAAATTCTGGTGGGAGAGAGCTGACCTGTGGCCCCACAGTGATCCTTACTGGGCAATCTACTGGCCAGGAGGCCAAGCCCTGTCTAGGTACTACCCTAATGAAACCTTTAAGGCGCTACAGATCTTTGCTGTTTTCAGTTCCCTCCAACCTCTACAAAAAACCAGAGCAATGCTAGGCGTGGTGGCTCATGCCTGTAGTCTCAGTACTTTGGGAGGCTGAGGCTGTAAGCTGTGATCCTGCCACTGCACTCTCGCCTGGCCTGTCTCAAAAACAAAACAGAAACCGGCAAAACTCAGTCTTGTTGTTTTCTTTTTTCTTTCTTTCTTTTTTTTTTTTTTTTTTGGTAGAGACAGGATCTTGCTATGTTGTCCAGGCTGGTCTTAAACATCTGGCCTCCTCAACCTCCCCAAGTGCTGGTATTACAGACATGAGCCTCTGAGCCTAGCCTCAGGTTAGCCATATTTTTTGTTGCCTTGTTGCGTAATTTCCCATTCTAACCCAAGCTTATCAAGCTATTTTCCCAAGTAACTGTCTCCCCAAGAGAAATCCTAGAGTCAGCTGTCAAGACCCTGGATAGCTATAAGTGATCCAGAAATCTCACCTGTTAGGAGGTTCATAGTTCATAGCGCATGACCATTGCAGAGTTCCTAGATGGAAGCTAAACACCCAGTCCTTTCGCTCTCCTTTAATTCAGTGAATGTCGCTCCATAAACCTCACATTCCTTCCAGAGTTGCTTATTTTCCCATAAAACAGGAGCTGTGAGTGAGTGGGCTGTTCAAAGTTTCCCTCTTCTGTTGGGTGCAGTGCCTGTAATCCCAGTGCTTTAGGAAGCCAGTGCAGGAGGACAGCTTGAAGTCAAGAGTTTGAGACCAGCGTAGGCAACATAGTGATACCCCTATCTCTACAAAAAAAAATTTTTTTTTTTTTTGAGACAGAGTCTCACTCTGTCACCCAGGCTGGAGTGCAGTGGTGTGATCTCGGCTCACTGCAAGCCCCGCCTCCCGGGTTCACGCCATTCTCCTGCCTCACCCTCCTGAGTAGCTGGGACTACAGGCTCATGCCACCATGCCCGGCTAATTTTTGTATTTTTAGTAGAGATGGGGTTTCACCATGTTGATCAGGCTGGTCTCGAACTTCTGACCTCGTGATCCGCCCTCCTCGGCCTCCCAAAGTGCTGGGATTACAGGCGTGAGCCACCGCGCCTGGCTTAATTTTGTATTTTTAGTAGAGACAGGGTTTCACCATGTTGACCAGGCTGGTCTCGAACCCCTGACCTCAAGTGATCCGCCAGCCTCGGCCTCCCAAAGTGCTGGGATTACAGGCATGAGCCATCGTGCCTGGCAGTAGCAGCTATTTAGACAGGGCATGTATGCCTCTACTTTGCCATAGTGTTAACTGGTTGATGTCAAGTCCCAGGTTCTTAGTGCCATCAACAAAGAATTGGACATGACACATACAAGTAGCAAGGCAGCAAACAGTTTGTTAAGCAGAATGCAATCAGCAACGGATCAGGCTGACCTGCGAGTGGTATCAGCCCCAGTTTGTTATAGTTCATGGCCTTTTATATGTTTTTTCCTCACTTGCTTAACCTTACTTTGTTTTTCGTAAGTGAATTGCTCATCCTGGCCTTTCCCTCATTGTGCCTAAACCGCACTTTATTTCTCATAAGCTAATTGTGCATCCTTGCTTAACCTTATTTTATCTTTTCTGACAAAATTGCTCATCTTTACTTTTAGTTCTTGTAACCAAATTGCTACTGCAACCCCTTTCCACTTATTTTCCTTATCTTGCATGTTCTAACTCATTGCTTACTCCCGTATCTCTTACTGCTTACTGTCTTATTTCATATGTCCTGTTTCTGCTATCTTGTATGCTTTGCTTTTGGTATTGCTTCAGCTAGCCTATGTCCAACGGGTCCCCTTCACCCCTGACTTCCTCTGCCATTCTCCTGCCTCAGTAGTACCCACTGTTCCTTATTACTCCAATCCGAAGATCAAGAGTCAGCTGAAATTTGTTATTTCAGCGTTTCTCCATCCCTCTTCGCTTGTTTGGTAACTATTTAGCTCCAGTCCAAATTCCTTGGTTGAATTGGACTTTGAGTTTTACCAGAGAGGTCATTATACTACATTTCAAGCAGCAGGAAAATCACTCTATGATGGAGTCAAGAGGAGACAGTGACTCTTGGATTGAGTTTACTAATTTTAGTCTTTGTTTTAGCAGTATTTTGTCAGTCTTAATTCGTGGTGCTCGGTAGTTTCTGGAACATACTAAGTATTCAATACTTTGTCAGCCGAAATGAGAGACTGAGGCATGAGTCTCAACCAGTCAAGGTTTGTTAAGCCCAAGAAAAATGCAAGTCACAGAAAAGTTTGTGGCCTGTGCTCTTCTAAGAGGTTTTTAGGAGGCACAGTATTTATACATTTCTTTTTCTTTCTTTTTTTTTTTTTTTTTGAGATGGAGTTTTGCTCTTGTTGCCCAGGCTGGAGTGCAATGGCACAATCTTGGCAGACTGCAGCCTTCCCCTCCCGGGTTCAAACGATTCTCTGCCTCAGCCTCCCGAGTAGCTGGGATTACAGGCATGTACCACCACGCCTGGCTAATTTTGTATTTTTAGTAGAGACGGGGTTTCACCCTGTTGGCCAGGCTGGTCTCGAACTCCTGACCTCAGGTGATCCACCCACCTTGCCTCCTAAAGTGCTGGGATTACAGGCGTGAGCCACCACACCTGGCCATTTATACATTTCTTTTCTTTCTTTCTTTTTTTTTTTTTTTGAGACAGAGTCTTACTCTGTCACCCAGGCTGGAGTGCAATGGCTTGATCTCTACTCACTGCAGCCTCTGCCTCCTGGGTTCAAGCAATTCTCCTGCCTCAGCCTCCCGAGTAGCTGGGATTGCAGGTGCCCGCCACCACACCTGGCTAATTTTTGTATTTTTAGTAGAGATGGGATTTCACCATGTTGGCCAGACTGGTCTCGAACTCCTGACCTCAGGTGATCCACCTGCTCAGCCTCCCAAAGTGCTGGGATTACAGGCAGGAGCCACTGTGCCCAGCCTACAACTTTTTTTTGAAAAAAATTGACTTGAATAGCATAATCAGTCAGTTGTGTGGTACTGTGCTTCACACCTGCTGAAGAGAAAGACCAAATGACTAGGTCCTTTCTTCTGCCACCTCTGCCCAGCTCTGGAGATGGACTTTTTGTGTCACTCTAGTCAGACCAAACTTGCCAAGGTTGGACCAAGTTCTGCTACTTTTCACTATTTCTTTTGTCCAGTCAACCTAAAGACATCTCTTTTCTTTCTTTTCCTTTTCTTTTCTTTTTTC